>NC_000010.11:48021883-48173398 GCF_000001405.40 Homo sapiens | reverse complement strand
GAGCCAATGCGAGGGGAGGAGTGTTTTAGGAAGAACGAGGAGGGGAAGTGAGGGTGAGTGAGGGGAGGAAGATGAGTGTGGCACTGCATGTGTGAAGTGGAGGTACATGTGTTGCTTTCAGGTGCACTTGTCTAATAAGCACTGAGAAATCTGGGTCTAGATCCCAATATATAGGCTAGTTGAGAGATTCAAATGAGTCTGCTTATAGGAAGGATTCGAAAATTAAGAAGCA
The DNA here is from genome assembly GCF_000001405.40 of Homo sapiens. Classification (NCBI taxonomy): domain Eukaryota; kingdom Metazoa; phylum Chordata; class Mammalia; order Primates; family Hominidae; genus Homo; species Homo sapiens. Next base: position 48,173,166 of record NC_000010.11, on the reverse strand, counting down.
TTTGCAGAGTCAAGGGAGTGCCTCCTGGTTGCCATATGAAGTGTAAACTGAGTTTGTTCACCTTTCCTTCTAGGTTGCAAGACTGGTCTTAGAGAGAAGAGTCCCCAGGAGTACACAGCAGTGTCCTTCTGCTAATGACAGCATGGGAGATGAACGCACGGCTGTTTCCTTGGTAACAGCCTTGCCTGGCAGGCCTTCGAGCTGTGTCTCAGTGACAGATGGTGAGAGGGGAGAGAATTGAGTGTTACTATTGTCATGTTATTGTGTGCCGCTTTTGAATTGTCAAGTCAAAAGGGAAAGGCAGGAAGGCTTCCTCTGGGTCCTGAAAAGAAAGCGAGCCATAGTGATCATGCTGAGATCTGCTTTTTCATGCCATGGAAGCCCATCTCATGGAATAGGTTTCTGGAAACAAATGCATTTTCCCCAAATTATTTCTAGGCATCTTTCTGCCCCCAGCCTTCCTCAGTCCTTTGATCAGCTGCCAGAATGTTAATGTTTGTGTGAATATTTAGGATGAAATTGACTGAAAGGGTCATACACTTTCAGATACATTTGGCTTCACAGTCCAGCCAAGTCATTTGTAACAAAGTTATTTGAGGAATGACTAGGCAGGTTGGGAGAGAAGGTTCAGGAATCTAGCCTTGTTATTAGCATCATTTTAAAAGGCAAACGAAAGATCGTTTAGAGGGACAAAACTGCACGTTTTCCGATGGGCTGCCCCTCTGCAATTCCCTTGTGATTTTGGTATTTGCCAGGAACACGCTGATTTCCTCAGTAAGAACGATTTGGACCTTAGCCATGTTTTAGTCCCTTCATAGAGATTTTCTGATTTTGCTGCAGAAGACTCAAGCCAGCCATAGGGTAGGGGTGGGGCAAAGGGGCATGCTTCTGTTTAAATCAAGTCTCCTCTGTCCTCACCCCTTTGCTCACTCCCTTGGGGCCTTTGAGAAATGGACTCCAAAGAGTGGAGGAGGCCTTAGGGCGATGGTAGAACTGGTCGTGTGACACACCTTCACATAATTGCTTCACATAATTGCTTCACATGCTTCCATTCTTGCCCTGGTGAAGTTTGCAAGCTGTGCTCTGTCCCTCTGTGCATTGATGCCAGCGGGGCAGCCCAGAGGCCTCTTTGGTGGACAGACCATGTAGGTTGCCAGCTCTGTTCATCCTTGGTGCCCAGAGGCAACTGTTTTGTCTTATGGTCAGCCTACATGGGTAAACAAAATGGCAGCTAAAGCATTGTCCATAGAATTGGCCATAATTTTCTCCATGGTCTAATTATGCAAAATTTAGTTTCAAGTATACTACAAATGACTAGAGTTCTAAAGGAGTAATAGGAATGTATGTGATACAAGTTTTATTAAATGCCAAGAGCATGTTGTGTATGCCTAGCAGCTATATCTTTATGTATAAACATAGTTGAGTTATCTATAATTGTGCTATTCAATATGGTAGCCACTTGCCACATGTGGTTATTGAGGACTTGAAATGTGACCAATCTAAATGGATAAAATATGTATTGGATTTTGAAAGCTTAGTTCGTAAGAAGAATAAAAAATATCTCGTTAATAATTTTTTCATATTGATGACATGTTGAAGTGGTAATATTTTAGATATATGGGATTAAATTAGATGTACGATTATAGCGTATTTAACCTGTTTCCTTTTACTTTTTAAATTGTTTTATTTATTTTTTGTTTGCTTTTTCCTTTTATTTTAATGTAGCTATTTGAAAACTTCAAAATGACATTTGTGGTTTGTATTTATAGCTCACATTATATTTTATTGGACAGCACTAATCTATAACATACATAATGTACTCTGTCATAAAATTAGCAAAGGAATTATTTGAACGTAAAAGAAATAATTCATCTACTTGACAATTTGCATTTTGAGACTGGTCAATTTCACTTGTAATCTACTGAAGAATTTATTTTTATCAACATCCCACACTACAGGTCCTAAGTTTGAAGTCAAACTAAAAAAGAATGCCAATGGTTTGGGATTCAGTTTCGTGCAGATGGAGAAAGAGAGCTGCAGCCATCTCAAAAGTGATCTTGTGAGGATTAAGAGGCTCTTTCCGGGGCAGCCAGCTGAGGAGAATGGGGCCATTGCAGCTGGTGACATTATCCTGGCCGTGAATGGAAGGTCCACGGAAGGCCTCATCTTCCAGGTGCCGGGGGTCATGGGCAATGCAGCTCTCTGTGCAGGCTGGCCCCAGCTTTGCCTCTTACTAGCCTGCTGCCGTGGGGAAAACTCTGGGCTCTCAAAAATCATACCAGCAGCCCGGATTTTAATCACACAAAGAGAGTAATTAGTGGTACATGCTCACATTTAATTTAAAATCTCTGTTTTTAAATATCTGACCTTGAGTCAGCCTTGCTTCTCACTGGGTTCATGAGAGAAGCTGAAGATAAAGCCCTGGCCTTTGTGCTGGCTGACGTCTCTTCACACACATCCTGGGAGGTGGGCATGGGGCTGAAGGGACTAGAGTGGGTCCCTTTCTGCTCTCCTTCCCATTTCTCAACACATTTACAGCTTTTCATACATTATTACACTGATTGTCCTGTCTATGATAAAAAATGCAATTTAAGAAGAGAGAGTAATGAAATACTGTATATATTAGACAGAGTCCTGGAAGAAAATGGAGTCATTTGAGGAACATTTAATAAAGGTGTGGGCAGGTTGTTAGGAAGCTCAAGGGAGCATGTTGTGGCCTAGGGCTAGGAAGAGTGGGATGCAGTTACCCCTATCCTGAGGCCAAAGGGGAAGGGAAAGAGCAGTTATTCCACCCCAGGAATGGAGAGCTGTTGGAGGGGACTCGCTGGCATGAGCTCTCACCTTGGCTGAGGTTGTAGTCGTCCCATGGCAACCTGAAGGGAGGAATTTGGAAGGAGCAATGACCTCCGCTCCTCCCTGTCTCTGGTCTCTTGCCGTGTTCCCCTAGCTGAGCCCAACAGGAAGCCTCATGCAGCCTTTATAAGTCAGCTCCAGAAACACAAAGCAAGATGGACAAAGGGGGACAGTGGCTCTGGGCAGGGCTGGGGGGAGGTCTCTAGAACACCATATGCTTGGGTGGGAGGGCATGCCTTCATCCATCCATCTCCTGATCCAAGAACCCTTCTCTGAGAACCACTGCTGGGCTGGCAACTCTATGAGAGACTGAAGACACAGAGGAAGACAGCTCATGCAGTTTCAGAGCTCATGGACAGAAAACAGCGGTGATGGCAGGAGATATGTATCCTGAGAGATGAAAGCCCATGCTGCAGTGCTCACACCAGTGAGCCAGGAAAGAAGTGCACCCCTTGGAAGTCCTGTGTGGCTGAAGCAGGGACTGGGGAGTGTCTTGATCAGCAGTTCTTAAGCAGAGATTATTTCCTTCTCATGGGATATTTGATTAAGTCCAGAGACATTTGTGATTGTCACAACTGATGAGTGCTTCTGGCATCTAGTGAGTAGAGATCAGAGATGCTGCTAAACAACCTACAATGCACAGGACAGGCATTCGCATAAGGAATTGTCCAGCCTGAGAGGTCAACAGTGCCAAGAGTTTGAGAAATCCTGGTCTAAATAGGAAATAGGAGCTATCGAGGCAACCTTGAACCCTGGACATTGAGAGGGTGGCTTGGAGCAACAGATTCAGCATGGCAGGGGCTTAGGACGTGGGTGCAGAGGGGAGTAGATGGGAGAGAGGGAACTGTGGTGAGAGGCAGAGGCAGGCAGAAACGGGGTCTATGTGCTATGCCTTGGAGCTTACATTGAGGGAAAAGTGAGTCAGCCAGGGTGTGCAGTGGGGGAAGGACTCAGTTATATCTGCACTGTGGAAAACTACCCTTGAGCATTGCAGAGGGAGGCAGGTGGGTGACACTGGAGAAGGCAGCAAGCAGTGAGGAGGTCACTGCAATACTACAGGTGAGAGGTTCCCAGAGCCCAAGCCGAGCCCTGATAGGAAGCTCAGAGCCAAGGGTCAGGCTTTAGAGATTCAGATGGTGGAGGCTGCAAAATTGCTGGCCCAAGATGAGGGCAGGTTGGGAGGAAAGGGCAATTGAGATGAACAGCTATTTGTTGGAGTCATTCTTTCTCTCTCTGAAGAAAAGGCATTGGTATTGGCAGATATTGCCATTCCCTTGAGCAATGTGGAAGGAGGCAGGTGGGTGACACTGGTGAAGGCAGGGAGCGGAGAGGAGGTTACTGCAATATTACAGATGAGAGGTTCCCAGAACCCAAGCTGCACAAAGGTGATGCACAGCCCAGCATCTTGCATCAACTTTGTGGAAGCTGCAGGCCACTGACCTTGGTTCCTTGCACTTTGAAAAGTCAGGCCCACAGCAGGGTTCTCCGGAGTTCTCTGGAGTGAGAAATAGATCAAGGTGCAGGGAGGAGGAGCTAGTGCCTGGGACGCAGTGGGGAGAACATCACTGCATCCCCAGCAATGCAAGCCCAAATCTAACAGTGAATCTTGGTTTTTCGCAGGAGGTGCTGCATTTACTGAGAGGGGCCCCACAGGAAGTCACGCTCCTCCTTTGCCGACCCCCTCCAGGTGCGCTGCCTGAGCTGGAGCAGGAATGGCAGGTAGGCTGCAGTGTCTTCTACTCTCTCTACCTGGCTCTGGTTGGGCCCCCCTTTTCCAGACTCTAGGGTCCTAAGAGGGTTGTAGATAGGTTCAGTGCCACCTCCTTTCACAGGGGTAGGAAAATAGCTGGCCCCCAAACCTCAGTAGGTCTCCTTCCTCTCCCTGATTCTGCCTCTTCTGACATTTGGGTCTTCTTGTAGATGTTTACATGTTTAGACTTTGGCTGTGAAACTTTTAGGGCCAGGCTCTCTGGAAGCTCAGGCATCAGAGAGGGAAGCCTGGGAAGAAGGAGAGTAGACACAGAAGCAGACCAAGGGAATTTCCAATAAGAATTTCCATTCTGAGAGATGATGTGGAAAATAGGATATATGATTACCCTCCTAAAGCATGAAATAGGCACGTGCAGTCTGGTTCAAAGAAGAGAGCCATTGGAATCAGGAAAATAGGGATTTTTACCTTGACACATATATTAGTCAGGTTCTCAGAGAAATAGAACAGATAGAATGAGTGTGTGTGTGTGTGTGTTTATGTGTGTGTTTATATATGAAGAGAGTGAGAGAAAGAGATTTATTATAGGAATTGGTTCATGTGATTTTGAGGGCTGGCCAGTCCAATTCTACAGGGGAGGCCAGCAGGCTGGAGACCCAGAGAATAATTGATGGAGATCAAGCCCAAAGGTGGTCTGGAGGCAGAACTCCCTCCTCCTCAGAGAGGTCAGTCTTTCCTCTTAAGGGCTTCAGCTGACAGCATGAGGCCCACTACATTATGGAAGACAATCTGTTTTACTCAAAGTTTGCTGATTTAAATGTCAAATCACATCTAAAAAAAAATACCTTCACAGTGACATCTAGATGGTATGTGACCGCCTATCTGTGTACCATGGCCTAGCCAAGTTGACAGATACAATTACCCATTGCCATGCCTTCTGTGGGGTTCCTAGGAAACAGATTTTGCAGCAGAGATGTGAGCGTGGGAGGTTTTATGGGGCCTGCGCTTGAGAACATCCCCTGTGAGGGTGACTGAGGTGGGGTGGGGCAGAAGGAGAGATCAATGTGCAGCTATAAACAGGGCCTCAGCTGATTCTGGAGGGAGCCCTGGAGCAGAGATGGCCCCTTGGAGCTGCCATGAATTGGGACAAGAGAACCTGTGCCTTTGCTTGTTGCCCTAACCAGCGCTGGGGTGTGGGCTGCCCCAGGGGAGGGGAGATGAGGCAGTAGGATGCGAATCTCAGTCCTGGAGGGGGATCTGGGCGGGTACCTGGATCACCTGTACCTGCTGTGCTGCATGGGCCTTGGGCAGTTGCCTGTCCTCTCTAGGCCCCATGATTCCTCATCTCTAGGATGTGGATAAAAGTGATCACTTATTGTGCCTGAGGGTGACACCATCACTAGGACAACATAAAGGACTTGATGTCCCAGATCCTGTTGATGCTTAGACTCCAAGAGGTCATTTGACATAGCCTCTAGGGAGGGAAGAGCTATGGGAAAGATATCCAAAAGTTGCTGGGTTGGAAAAGAAGGTAGACAGCAGCAATTGTGTTAAGAAACCGAACCAGGTGAGAGAGGGCCAAATTTCACACACACAAATTCAGGCCAAGGTGCTGGGACCCTGTGTTTTTGTTGAAATATCTAGGAAATCCCAGGGAAAAAAGTGGTACTTCCATCCTGGAGAATAGCTCCTCCCAGGAGAGCCCATAAAGATCTAGCAGGAAGGGTCCAGGTGAGGTGTGGGGGTGAGCTTTCCCTCCTCATACCCGAAGGCCAAGTGGGAGGATTGTGATTTGCTTGGGTGGCTCCAGTGGTCAGATTGCAGAACAAGGGTCAGCAGCTCTGGGGAGCAAGCATTTAGTCCATAAAGTAAAGCACCTCTGAGAAGGAGGCAGCCATGCCCACATTTGGGGTAAGGGCATTCCAGGCAGAAGGAACAGCATGAACAAAGGCCCTGAGATGGGAACCCACTTGGATGTTTGAGGGACAAAAATACAAGTGTGCTTGGGCCATCGTTAATGAAGCAGAAGTGGAGGAAGTTGTGGAGGTGGCAGGGACCCTGGAGGGCCTTGGGGATCAGAGGAGCATGATGCCACCATCCTGCATGCAGTGGGAAGCCACTGGGCTGGCACGGAGGGTTAAGCAGGAAATGCCCTCCTCCGTTCTTCAGAGGGGCCACTCGGGTTACTGGTGCACAGGGACTAAAGGAGGTCAAGCAGCAGTCATTCAGGTCAAACATGATGTGGCTTGGACTCAGGCTGTAGCTGAAGTGTTAAGAAGCAGCCAGATTTGGGATACATCTGGGAGGCGGAGTTCAGGAGACTACTTTGGGATTAGAAACAGGCATGAGGAAAGAGAGCAATCAAGCTTTGGCATGAGGAAGCCTTGGGGAAATGGTGGTACCACCAATGCAGGGTGAAGGAGGGGTAAGAAGGTAAAAAGCCTGATTTTCCTGATTCCAATACCTCTCTTCTTTGCACTAGATCACATATACCTATTTCATGCTTTAGGAGGGTAATCATAGATCCTATTTTCCACTTCATCTCTCTTGGTACCAGTTCCCAAGAGAGGGACTGCTTACAGGGGCTGGGGAAGGCCATCTGGGGTGCATGGAAGAGAAACAATAGTTCTTGGTATCATTTAAAACTGAGATGTTTATAGGCTATCCAGTGAAGAGTCTATTAGGCAGTTGTGGAGAATAGGCATGAGATCAGGGCTGGGAAAAGTGAATTTGGGAGTTGTCAGCATATATAGAGGTCGTGTAAAGCCATGAAATGGTTGAGATCACCTTGGGAAAGAGTGCAGATAAGTTCAAGGAGAGGACTGAGAAGTCAGCACAGAGCATAACAACATTGAGAGGCCTGGTACAGAGATGGGACAACATATGAGATTAAGATGGGGCCTGGGAATTGGTGGAAAAACCAAGCAAGGGTGGGGCTCATGGTCAACTCCATGTAAGTAGGGCTAATGAGCAAGGAAGCTCTCAGGAAGGAGGGAGGGACACACTTTGTTGAACGTTGCTGAGAGAGAGAGTGAAAGGACAAAATATTGTTCTTCAGCTTTAGAAAGATAGAGGTCGCTGGGGACCCTGATGTGGGCTCCTTCCCTTGGGTGGTAAGGACAGAAGGCTGGTGCTAGTGGGTGCAAGAAAGAAGGAGGGAGGCGTGGAAACGGTGAGAAGAGACACTCATCTAAGAGGCTGCCATGAAGTAGAGCACAGAAATGGGTGGCGAGAGGTGGAAGCTGAAGTTGGGGTAGGGGCACAGGCTGCTCAGTGGAATTTGCTGTGGGAAGATGAAGAGTTCTCATCTGAACGTGTCCATTCTCACTGTGAGGTCACAGGCAAGTTCAGGGTGGAGTTGTTAGAAACTTGAAGAGAGAGACAAGATGAGAAATAATTTAGAGAGCAGAGGTAGAAAACTGAATGGATTAAGGACACAGAGAAAGATTATGTGGAAGTCTTGACTGCCCATTTGACATCTGCAGTCACACACTTGAAGCTAATCTAGTCAGAGGCTCAGAAGCAGGGGTGAGGTTCACACAGTTTGAGTAGGAATTAAAATGGAAACTCAGAATCTGCAAGTGACACGTGATGGAGGAAGAGAGGGGCAAGGAGGTGGGAGCTCAGGGTCTTCCTTGTCTGTAAGTGAGCATCTAGGGGCAGAGCCATGGAATCTAAGCAGAATAAGAGGCACACCGAGGACATGTGTGACAGGGAAGGGGAGTGGGGGTAATGATGAAAAGCAGCAGCTCCACAGACTGGAGGTCTTGGAGTGGGGAAGGATTGCTGGAGAGCATGTCCAGGGATAATGAGCTAGAAGGAGAGGATAGGTTAGAAAACAGATTTTGGAGGTCTCTCCAAAGAGTATGAAAATGTGACAAAATATGGTCTTCTTAAAATTTTGATTTTTGGTGTATCCTTTATAATGTCCAGCCTATCAGAAGAGTAGTAAATGTTTATGATTTATAATTAAATAAATGTGCACATTTGGAGGTGTATCCCTCTCATTGTTAGGGATGTACAATCAGAAATGTGGGGAGACCACTCATTGGGGTGGTTCTTCTTTTGTAGGTGAGGGCAGGGGTGGGAACCCAGGCATGGGCTCTATTACATCAGGTATGGAGATCATGGGGTGGAAGTGCTGGAAGATAATTTTCAGGAAAAGGTAAAATCATGATTCCTACAGATATAAAAATGAACACATGTTAAAGATTTTATTTAACTCATTCAGTGAGGGAACCAGGCAGATGTTAAAACTGGCTCAAAAGAGATTTCAAAGGACCTGTTTATTTATAGAGTTGTAAAATAGCTCAAAGACAGTGGAGACAGCCAGAATCAGAGAACCCAGCAGGTTCTGCTGTAGATAAAAACAGTTTTCTACTGAAACACAGATTGTTTTTCTGTAGAAGGTCAAGCAGTGGCAGCAAGACATAGCACATCATCAAAACCAGAACCTAAAAGGCTGACAGGGAGGTGAGCAGTTGAGACGAAGCAAGTCATGTCTGGGAAAGTGAGGAGGAGACCCAGGAAAGAACATCACCTTGATGGGGGTGGAGACAGGGAGACAAGCCCTGAGATGACAGATGAAGATGAAAAACTTAAAAAGAAAACATTTCTTATCGGAGAGTGGAATAGAGTCATTGTTTTGCATATTTATCTTCCATTTTTATCTTTGTCTAAATTTTGCAAATATTTTTTATTTAAAAATAAGGCTCACATTTATGGAGAGCTTCCAAAGCCAAGGTGCCTGAGTGTGTTGCCCAGTGTCCAGCCGGGAGCATGTGGAGGAGCTGGGATGCTATGGTGATAGACAGACCTCAAAGCCCATCTTGTAACTACTCTGATCTATAATCACATGGGGGAAAAAAGCTTTGTATTTTTAAAAAAACAATGTGCATCCCGCAGCCAGTAATCAGTAGCATTTCTTTTAATAGACACCTGAACTCTCAGCTGACAAAGAATTCACCAGGGCAACATGTACTGACTCATGTACCAGCCCCATCCTGGATCAAGAGGACAGCTGGAGGGACAGTGCCTCCCCAGATGCAGGGGAAGGCCTGGGTCTCAGGCCAGAGTCTTCCCAAAAGGCCATCAGAGAGGCACAATGGGGCCAAAACAGAGAGAGACCTTGGGCCAGTTCCTTGACACATTCTCCTGAGTCCCACCCTCATTTATGCAAACTTCACCAAGAAAGGGATGAATCAACATTGGCGACCTCTTTGGAAAAGGATGTGAGGCAAAACTGCTATTCAGTTTGTGATATCATGAGACTTGGAAGGTAAGAATCACCACATTTGCAGACATTTTGTAAACTGTGTGCATCTCATTGCTAGGAAATTGTAATCAAGCCATCAATAACTATGCTTGGATGATTTTGTGCCCAGCACTGTTCCAGGCATTTAGAAGAGAGGTTGCAACAAGAGAAGCATAAAGTCTGGTGCTGCTGTGACCACCTGTGAGCTTTTGGGAAAGCAAACCCTACCCAGACCACAATTGTCCCCAATATGTCTTGGAAGCTATAGGTGGCAGGCCTCAGGTTTTCTCCTGGCACACAAACCTTTCTCTTGTATCTTCCATGGCCTGTTAAAGCTTTGTAGTAAGAAGGAAGTTCCTACATGCATCCTCGTTTCTATTGCTAGTATAATGCTTTATTATCAACATCAGCTTTTTTTTTTTTTTTTTTTTTTAAAGATGGGGTCTTACTATGTTGCCCAGGCTGAATTCAAAATCCTGGGCTCAAGTGATCCTCCCACCTCAGCCGGTCAATAGCTGGGTCTACAGGCACCAGCCATCATGCCTGGCTACACCAGCTTTTGTTTTCTGAACACATCTATATCTTCAAGACCACCCTGCAACATTCATTTTCACAGTCATTTTAAATTTAGTCTGCATTTTTGTGTCCATCCATCTGTAAGTATTTCCGATTCTCAGTCCTATGCTGAGGGAACACATAGTCTTTGATTCAGTTTGACAAGTACTTATTACACAAGGTGCTTGGAAACCTGTTGGGAGCAGACAGAGGGCTGCACATGTAGGGTAAGACCTGCTTCTAGCATTTGCCAGCCAGAGGCATGGGCACAAAGCAGGTAAATAACAAGGGGCAATTGTTTGTGTTTGACACTCTATAAACCCACTGAGATTAAATGGCTCTCATTTGGTAGCCATCCTAGACGACTGTCAAAGGTAGATCCATAGGAAATGATAGTCTCTGTGAAGTGTGAAGCAGTCGTGTAATACCGTTGGACCCGATGAGAGCTGTGACAAGCAGGAGCCAGGCATGCATTCCCTAAAAGTACCCTGCTACAATTTTTTGAAGAATGCTGTGTCAGCCAAACAAAAGCTAACTGGTTTGCAAAGTAGAACAGGGTGAACAAGCACATTCATCAATGATATTCACTTTCGTTGTCTGATAATGTATAACATAAGTGTATTTATAGTTCTTTACAATTGCAGTCTAGGCAGTAATTGACATACTTGATAAAATAATAAAGAAAGTAACCTACAGAGACTTGTCCAAGGACAACTACTACCATGATCTTAAAGGACATATTAAAGGAATGGTACTTTCCTGTAGGGAGGAGGCACTTGTTTGGATATTGAAAGGTTTTGCTGCCAGATAGCTTGGGATAATGAACAGGGACCCTGAGAGCTGAATTATAAAGTGACCCTGGGTATAGGTACAAGCTGGGAATTTGACTTGCCAAGTGCCTTTAATTTAATATAGCCAATAGTTATTTAAAATGGTATTTTAAACTATTAGTATAGGCAGTCACTGTTTCATTCATTAAACGACAGAAAATCAGCCTGTTCAATATAAAAATGATCTAGTCTAGCCTCAAACTCCATGCTGGAATCTGCTCCATAACATTCCTGAAGAAGGGGTCCCAGCTTTTGCTTGAATATCTGCAGGGATGCAGAACTTGCTACCTCTTGAATGACCCATTTTATCATCATCTAGTTACTGATCAGAAGGTTCTTCCTTATATTAAGGTGAAATCTTTATGCTGTTATGCTGTTCTTATGGGGCCAGCATTTAAAGTTACACATTTTGCATACAGCATGGCTCATAAATTCAAGCCTCCTAACTTCATCTGAAGCTCAACCAAAGAAAAAGTGATTTGCTCCCACATCTTCCACATCTTTATGCCTCTTTATGTCTTCTACTTCCAAGTCCGGATACCTATTTCTGCCTATCTGTTAGCATTTGCTGTTTTTTTTTTGCATCAAACATCACATTATTCTGTTTTTCTGAACCAAATTAAATTTGGCTTAGTGGCCCTATTTGCAAGGGTATACCAGATGTCCAAAATCTGTCATTCTTGGAGGGACTGCTCCTTTTAGAGCCACACGAGAGTCCCAAGGGCTTGTCCAGAGCATTCCAGGGGAGTCTCCTATCTTCAGTCTGTTGTGAACGCCCATCAACCATCATACTCACTGCCGGGCCCACATGGTCCATGTACCCATGGATGAACTGTGGGCAGGCAGCTTTACTGTTCTCAGTATCCTGGCTCTCTCAATGGCCAACCGCACCCCCTTTTTCTCTTGCCTCCCTGTGGTAGTTCTGTTGATGAATGCTTTCTGCCTCATCACATTTCCTGGCTTTATTTTTACTTCGTTTTCCCTCCCTCACTTAGGAACCTTTCCTCCCCTCTGAAAGAACTCAAACCAAGTCCACCTCTCCTCCAATAGGACGTCAGTTTGCATTTAATGCACACATAGTGGCTGCCCCCTACAGGAAGAAAAGAGGGGCGCATGCCCAGCGACCCCTGGACACAGTTCCCCCAGCTCCTGGATAGGGTCTGAATCAGGATTCCAAAGTGGGATTGTGACTCTGCAGAAGCCTTAGAAGTGTTTGCAGCTCAGTTCTGAGGTGACTGTCGCAGGCCACTGCCTCTTAAGTGTCTGGCATCTGTGAGTTAAACTCTTCAACAAAAAGAGCATGGATTTCTGTATCCTATTATGTGGTTTCAGCGTTGCCACTTACTAGTATGCCTGGAGCATTGCCTTCCCTAAGCTGGAGGCTTCCCAAATGTAAATGGGGACCATGACAGTTCCACAGGGTACTGTGCAGGTCAAAAGAAATAGCACGCTCAGGGTGCTGTCACAGTGCCTGGCATGCGGCAAGAACTCAATGCAAGTCTGTTTTCCTTCCCTTTCCTGAGCTATTTCCAGCTAAAGAACAGGTCCCTTCAATTGAAATTCCCAGCAAATTGCCGGAACTTACCATCTGCCAGGTGGCAACTTCCTACAGCCAGATGGCTGCCAGCACCACAGCAAATCCAAAGTGTTCATGGACAAGATTCGATTTCACTTTCTTTCCCTGTTCTCTTTTCTCACACTCTATATCTAGAGATTTTACCGTCTAGTAGTAGATCTTTATAAAAATATCTTGTAATAAAGCAGTACAGTACATTTTTATGAAGGAGAGTTGGATTACGTGCCTATCAGAGGGAAAGCTTGGCTGGAGTCATGTTTTTTATAAGGTTAGTTCCTAAAGGTAGGCAGAAGGCAACAATCACATCAAGTCTCATTACCCTTGAAACATCACTTTGGAAGGAGTGATGTTATTTGCCCCTTGGTGTGGGAGCAAATCACTTTTTGTTTGGTCGAGCCTCAGATGAAGTTAGGAGGCTTGCATTTATGGGCCATGCTGTATGCAAAATGTTTGTCTTTAAATGCTGGCCCAATAGAAACAGAGACAGATTGAGAGGATGAAAGATTTAGTTCTCCCACTCATGTGCACTTCAAGGCTTACACTTATCGGTTGGAAAGTTGGTCTTTGCAGAATGTTTAAGGTTATCTTTCTCTTTCTCTTTTTGCCTAGCACATATCATTAAACTCATGTAAGTAAAATGCACGTAAGTTCAACAAGCATCACTTTGTGAAAGTGATGGTATAAATCTTGATGGTCATTTATTTAAGAAAGCAAAATAAAGCAGGACTCCTGGAAATGAACCTAAAGTTATGATATACCTTCTGGGGAAGGGCACTGCCTGGAATAGCAAAAGATAATTAGGAGGCCAGAGATCTCACTCAACTGCAGGGGCCAGGCCAGGTGTGATGTCAGAGTAGTTAGGGAGGGATGCAGTTGCCAGGTGAGGGAGATGTCATGCCTGCTCTTGGGTTGGAGTGTGGCTGAGGGGAGTGAGGGAGGCAGCAGAGCCTGGGCTGGATCCTGGGTGCTGCCTCTAGCAGGATTCTCTTTACACCTTACAGGCTCCCAGGGCTATCCTTGGGTATCCCCAGATACCCAGGGGTATCTGTCCACACTACTGTGACAAATCCTAAGTATTGTACTTCAGCTCAGATTTATCATCTGAGCTTCAAATCTGGCAGTCCGTTGAACTTGTTTACTTTGATGTCTTAGAGATACTGTAAATCCAACCTGCCAAAACTAAATGCAGTTGTCAGGAGCAGAGACCTGGGGCTCCCAGCTGTGTCATCAGGGCTAATGGAGACCTCAATATGGGGCCTGATGTTGGAGAACTGGAGACATGAAGGGACACAAACCCCAAACTTTGTTGTGAGTTTAACCGTAAGTAAATAGGACAATTATAATACCTTCATATTTCAAGCCTGAAATGCCCAATCTGCTTCTATGAATTTCCTCCTGAAAGGCAGAGATGAATTTGGTGGCCCAAGTCTTTAAAGGACAGCTGTCCAGAAAAGTTGGGCACAGTGTCTTTTCTCAGTAAACATTCTGTAGCAAGCAGAGCCTTCAGAATGGTTTCACTGACTTCAGAGCTGAACTGGGATTCCTCTTAAAAATACCCACTGAAGAGTTTCAGGACTTGGTGGGGACCCTGGTTCTGGGGTCCTGCTGGTTTGTATGGGAGACATGGCTGGCCAGGAAGCCCACGTGAAATCTCCAGATTCTCCTCTAGTTATCATCTGTCTATAAAAGCCTCCTTCTGTTGGACAGCTTGGTGGGCAGAGAGTGAGGGCAGGAAGAAGCTGAGATCATTACACAGAATCAGGGGGTGAGCAGAGAGCCCCGTGTACTCCGACAGCATCAGGGTCTTGCTGAAAGTCCTGCTACATTAGCCATGAGCTGGCCGGCCTTGAACCCTGGGTGAAGAACTCCACCTCTTTACCCATCATGTCCACATGCAAAACATGAGGCTTGCTGTGAAAGAATGTCTCTATCTTAATGAAATTCTCCAAATTTCCAAGTCTTGCCCTTTCCGTGAAATAGGCATACAGGCTTCTGGTGCCTCTTTATTCCCTATTCACCCTTTCCCTATGTCCACAGTTGAGCCCCAGGTCAAATCTCCAAGGGCAGCCTGATGGCACGTGCAAAAGGATAGAAGGAAAGGCAGTCGTTCTCCCAACTTGTGGTGGGATGATGGCCAAGATTTCACCCTTGGGACCACCAAGTCCCCCTGGACAAGTGGGGAGCAAATCGCTTTTTCTTTGGTTGAACCTCAGATGAAGCCTTGCCTCTTGCCTCTCAGGCTGATGGCTTCCCTAGGTCTCTGTCCAGGCAGAGCCAGTAGCTGGAGCTCCGAATCAAAACCAGAGGGCAAGGAGCTTATTAGAAGAGGTGGAGGGAGTCTACGGGTGGGAGGTGAGGTGTGGACACTGAGGCAGCTGCAGTGGCCAATGGACACACACAGCTGCCATCTTCCACTCCTCAACAAGGCTTAGTGAGCTCAGAACGGAGGGAAGGGGGTGCTGCTTGAGGTGGTGGGGACAGTGGTGAGCCTAGGCCTGGGCAATAGGCTAGATTTCCCATTCTTTGATAAAACTTCTTGAATGTTTCTTTCCCATGTTTATAAGAAAACACAGTTTCTACATGATTTAGCCAAGCTTAAAGTCAATTTTCCCTGCAAATGCTCAAGAATTAAAAATGTCTTTTGACAGTGAGTGTTCCTCTTCAGTCTTTGTAGAATAATTTCTTTTTTATACACTTGAGTGTGCATATATTTACATGAAATTCACTATTTCACATACCTTGTAGCTCTCATGAGTGGAAATAATGTCTCTTTCACAGTGAAGCTCAGTTTGGGACAGATGCTTCCGGCTCTACTGGGGAGGAGGACGTGCTCTCTGGGTATCTAAGGGTTTGTAGCTATTGGGGTGCACCAGAGCCAATTTTAAGAGAAAGAGGCAATGCAGGAAAGGAGAAGGAGAGCAGCAGCACATAATAAAGCCAACCCATTGATTTGGGTGGGGGTAAGGAGGCTGAGAAATGAGGATCCATGTATTTGCTAAATCTTTGTGCTTTTCTCTTAGATATTCCTTCTCATCTCCTCTAACCAGACTTTCGACAGATATTTTCTGAGCACCTTCTCTGCATGTCTGCAGTGCTGTGTAAAATGCCCTACCTTTGCATGGACTATTCTTTCTAATCAAGAGGCGTGTGTGGCGAACTTGGGGCAGCCCCTGGAAGTCTTGTTCTTTGACCATTACGTCTGCGGCTGCATCACCAGATAATGAGCTTCACCACTCGTCTGCCTCCTGTGTCCTTCCGCGGGGAGTAAATGTCACTTCAGCTTGCCGCATCTCTAAATAGGCAAATTTTCAGTGCTCAGAAAAGGACCTGATCTTTGCACAAAGTGCTTTGATGGTTGCCTGCTTGAGTCACTCCCAATCCCTTCCTGAAGCCCTTTCTTTATAATTCTTCTGTTGAAATAGCCATCATATTCACAGTACTAATCACAGCATCTCACATTTACTAAAAACTTACCCCATACCAGGAACCCAGAGTTGGGGGGGCTGTGTCAGAATTATGTAATTTACGTGTCCCAATAATCCTAGACGCTTCTTGACCATCTAGTTTTGTCAAATGAGAAAACTGAGGTTCCAAAGAAGTCAATAAACTTGTCCAAAGTCTGACCGACTCTGCTTGCCATGTGACGAGTCTGTCTTAGAACTGGGTCATTGCCCTGCTTGCAATGCTGTGCCCTCTGGCAAGCCCCCCCATCCCCCCGGTCTCCTGAGCTCGGTAAGGTGCTCCAGCTGCTTCTATCATAGCACTTCCTACATGGACTGTAACATTTCTTTACTGCTCCAACTTCTCATTAAATTGGGGGCTCCTCAAAGCCAGGGTTGGTGCCTTATAAGTTTCTTGCTTCCTGGTGCCCAGAGCAGCCTCTGGCATGAGCTGTTTGAACACTGGCTGAGTCTCACGGGCCTGTGTCGTGCAGAGTATTCTAAAAGGCAAGGGGAAGGTGGGGTGAGGAATTTTTTTTATCAAGGCTGGAAGAAACATGGGCTTCTGTATTCTAGTCCTGAATTGGATGGGGAGGATGGGGAAGGTGACATGTACCATCCATGTGGAGCCCCTTCTCCCACCTCGGAGGATGAAGAGTATCTTACCATCAACTCTACATGCCAAGGCCAGCTACCCTGTGAAGAATGTTTGGAGGCAGATTCTGGGACCATTCCCTTGCCACAGTTCTGCTCTTGGGGCACTGTCCCAGAGTCTTTGCCTCCAGAAGAGTCCCCAGAGAGTGGGAGTGAATGGGAAGACCTGGAGGAGCCTGTGGCCCTGGAATACGGTGCCCTCAGGTGGGTATCACTCTGGCTGGGTGGACTGGGGCTGAGCTCTGACCAGAGCAGGGCTCAGTGCTATCAAGCCACTTCAACTGGGGGTGGGGGATGGTCTGTGGGCATTGCCCAGTTTCCCCTGCATCTTCTTTGGGGGTCATGCGTCATTGTAATGGCCATTTTCACAGAACACTTACCATGGCCCTTGCACCATGACAACGACCTACAACATGGGGACTGTCATCACCCCCATTTCACACATGACACATTTGGGGCTTTCCCAAGGTTATCCAATAAGTAAGTGACAGAACTAGAATTCAAACCTGATCGGTTCCCCACTCCACGGCCCACCTGTCGAGCACCCATCTGTTCTGCCTCCTATGTACAGGAGTGTGCATCTCTCTCCTCAGGTCTCTCTCTTTTGGGGGTCTGAATGTCTAGTGCTGATTCCTGTTTTGCCTGCTCCTACCTGCCCCTCTGCTGGATGTACTGCAGAGAAGAGTCTTGGTGTCCTGTCATAGGGCCCATCTTGTTGGACTGCTGTGGCTGAGTATAGACCAGCATCAGGAAAGTCTCACTGTTAATGCAAGGAGCCACCAGAAGCTGACCTGGTCACCAGGCAGGGTCAGAACATATTGATGAGGACACAGAAAAAGTAAGGGCAACAGAAACTGTCACACTGGGAGGAAGGGAGGTTAAATTCTGGGCAGGTCTGTAACCACCCAACATTCTGTTAAAGTACTTACAGTGTATATTTAAAAATGCTGAATGTTCCAAAAACTTTCACATAAACACAGTTTCAAGGTCCACTGAAACTTAACGAGACAACAGTTTGAGAAGTTTCAAGTATAATTGAAACCCACTCCTTAACTTTCCTCCTATTGTGTCCCAGCTCCATTTTCCTGGCTGTACATAAGGAAGCTCAGCCACCACAAATGATTGAGCTGGAGCCTCAGAGGACAGTGGTGGGCCAGCTGATAAGGAGAGTGGATATTTGAAATTAAAATATAACAAAAGGGCTGGTTCTTATCTGAAATAGGAAGCAACAAGTTAATAGAGTGGAAGATTCAGAGGCTTTGAAGACTGTGCATGTTCATTTATGGGGAAGTACAACACTTTACAGCATTGGGAGTGTACGTTATGGATTCACAGAAGTGTGGGCAAGCAGGAAGCAGCTTGTATGCAGGGGGCAGTCTTCTTGGAGCTGGCTCCGCAGGGCTGGGAAACAGGAAGAAGAAGGCTGAGCAATTGGTGGGGACCACAAGGGCCAGTCCACTGAGATCTGCAGTGCGTCTGAGCCAGCCGGGAAGAGAAAGGCAGAAGATGTGGCATTGTGGTTGGGGGAGCTCAGATTTGAAGCCTGGCCCTGCCACTCACTGGCTGGGAGACCTGCAGCACATGACTTTTAAACCATTCAATATGCAGCTGACTGCCAGATAACCAAACCCACTTCATGCGGTTATGACAACGCCAGGTGTGTAGTGGTAAGGGCTTAAAAAACATTAGCTATTTTTATCATCAATCACAAAGGAGAGAATTACTCCAGTGAGAAGATATAAGCTTTTTAATGCATTCAATCCTGTTGGGTTTTTTCCATGTAGTCAAAGAAACTAGACAGTTGGACTTGTGCCCTAACATGTGGTATGGGTCTGGGTGGGGAGAAGCACTCACCTATGGCAAGGGTGCCAGGCTCTACCATGCCCTCATCTATGTATGGACTGTAGCATGGGCTGTGCTCAGGGTGAGTCCTGTTAGAATCACTGATCCTGCACAAAAAGGAGAACAGGTCTCACCCTCCCCTGCAGACAGAGGATGGGTGTGCCAACATGAGTGCCCAAGGCATGAGTTCTTAGTTTGGCTCCATGCAGCAGCCCACAGGTGTTCTTCATGGCATCTATGGGCTATTGCACCTAGAATGTTGACTTGTGTGCTTCTTTTGGGAAATACAGGTCTTAACAGCCTTTAAATTCTCCAAAGTGTCTATAACCCCTATAAGCTGAACCCCCTCCACTGTATATATTATCTCATTTATAAAGAGGACTTTGCCTACAGAGCAGTGCAGCCTTTAAACCTAATCACCAGTTATTTTGTTTGGTCCTTTTAGACATTAAGACAGTCATAGTGCGTAAGGTAGTTTCTACATGTGATTTAACTTAATCCTTATGTCAGTTTTGAGTGATATTCTTATTTCTGTTTTTAAAGGGGGCTTAGGGCTGGGTGCGGTGGCTCACGCCTGTAATCCCAGCACTTTGGGAGGCTGAGGAGGGTGGATCACGAGGTCAGGAGATCGAGACCATCCTGGCTAACACGGTGAAACCCCATCTCTACTAAAAATACAAAAAATTAGCTGGGCGTGGTGGTGGGTGCCTGTAGTCCCAGCTACTTGGGAGGCTGAGGCAGGAGAATGGCGTGAACCAAGGAGGCAGAGCTTGCAGTGAGCCAAGATAGTGCCACTACACTCCGGCCTGGGTGAAAGAACGAGACTCTGTCTCAAAAAAAAAAAAAAAATTAAGGGGGCTTAGAAGATTTAATTTCCTGAGCTCATACAGGTAGGACAGGTGGATTCACACTACATCTGTCTGCTTCTACTTTTGGTGGCTTTTCACATTTCCCCTAGAATGTGTCTTTCATGTGAATTTGTGTAACACAGGTCTTTCCATAAAGTGGCATGAGTCCTACTTTTCCTTCACAAAATATTTCTCTTTTATGAGGCTAAGGAAAACTCCCTTGCTCAGTGGGATTAAGAAGAGGACGGAACTGTTCTGTTTAGGGAAGGCTACTGGCAAAATGACGAGGTCACCCATTAAAGCTGCTTATTGTTTTAGATAAACACAGAGAACAGCCGTCTTCCGAGGCAGAGACTGAGGGTTTCTGCATGGAGGTCCTTTGGATAGAAGAGCCCTCAGGTGACCTTGGTCCAAAGAGTGTACCCACCAGCTCTGCCACTGGGAAAGAAACCTGTAGGCTCCTGCAAAGGTGACCTGGGATGAAGGGCCTGGCCCAGTTGTTAAGAGCTCACTTCAAGAAGAGCATGCTTGTCGATTCCAAGACTCATTTTGAATCATGGCTGTTGCCTCTCTTCAGTTCTGGGGTTTACGTCCAGCAAAGCTTTGTGCGTGCGTGTGTGTGTGTGTGTGTGTGTGTGTGTGTGTGCGCGCGCGTGTGGGAAGGGGAGGTGGTGAGAAGGGGGTGGGGGCTTCCCTTTGTGAAAGGAATTGAGAACCAATCTCTTCCTCCAAGATACCCCAGGCAGGGTGAAGTCTTGCTGCAGCACTGGCACACACTCTCCGGGACAGATACAGTGTTGCAGGGTGCACTTCATAGTTCACCTTGGAACAAAGGAGTTTTATGGTTATCACAGTGGAAGGACTCTGTTAAGGGGCTTGGCTCCAAGGTTATGGGTGTAATATGTTTTGATATCTTTCTGTATCTTTTCTATACAACTCCACATAGCTATACATTCTTTTAAAAGGACTTTCCTTTTGGACTTTATACCTGATTCTACAAAGCATATGAAGGAAAAATAAGATGGGGATATCTAGTAAAGAAAGCAGAGTGATGTGTTAGATCCAGCATTACCCCATATTAGGACAAAGAACTAAAGACACATGGATTAGCAAATGCACAAAAGAAACACTGGGGGACCACAGGCAGGCCCAGGAGCATACCTGGTGCTGTGTAACAGAGAAAGCAGGGCAAAGTTGGGGTCTCAGCATAGGGGAAGGGGAGACAACTTCATTGATACAACTGGGAGAGCTGGAAAATTGATTCAGTTTCAAAGCCCACTTCATCTACTAGAATCACATAAAACACACACACACACACACACACACACACACACACACACACATATCAGAGAAAGACTGGTAGGAAACAGGCTCTCGTTTTATCAGATCTGCAGAGGAATGATCACTCTTCCAGCTTACTGCAGTAGACCAAAAGTATAACAACAGAAAACCTACAAAGCTGACAATATTGAAAAAGTTTAAACTTCCATACAATAATAATGACAAAACTCATGTAAAAAGAATAGCAATGGGTTGGGAAAGCATTTACATAATTGTGAACAAAGATTAATATTTTTAATATTTAGAAAGCCCATTTTAATTTATAATAGATCAATACAGGATTTCCATAGACAAAATATACGATAAAATACAAATGGCCAACAAACACACAAAATATTCTAACCAAAACAATGTCAATATACTGATTTGCATTCATTACATTCATAAAATTTAAAAAAACTGTCCAATGCTGGCAAAATTTTGCTGAAGCTGGCATATTCAGAAATATCAAAAGCTATAAAAATGGGTATACCCACTGACCCAACAATGAAATCCCTGAGAATTATCCCACAGAAATAATCCAGAATAAGAAAAAAATCAATTTATTTAAAAATGTTCACTGTAGTGCTCTTGATAAAAACAACAAATTGGAATTGGCTGAAATGCATTAGAATAATGATAACATTAGAGAAAATGATGGTACAATAGCATAATAGAATACTGCACTGCCAAGAAAGTAATATAACTACGAAGAACTCGCAACTTAGTAAAGTGTTTGATATAATAACTCAGAATTACATGCTGGTTACAACTATGGAATGCCTCGCAGGCACAAGGAGAAGCACCGTGAACAGAGGGGAGGCTCAGCAATGGAACAGAAATTGACCAAAGTTTGGGTGATGGGATTAGGAGAATACACTTTATTTTGTTAAAAATTACCTTTATATATCTATTACTTATATAATAAATTTTACATTGAAAATAAAGAGACTGAAACTGCAAAATAAGAGAAGGAAAGCAACAATAACCAACCAAACAAAAACAAAGACTAAGATTTAAAAAGCCTGTGCTCTAAAATCTAATTCATGAACTCTCCTCTATGTGCTTTTGTTTCTAATTTTTCTGTTCTCCTTATGACAGAAAAATCTTATGGGTCATTTGGCTTCTTCTGCTATTAATGAAAAAGATGTTTCCAGGGATCTGAACAGCCTTGTTCTAAATTCTCTCAGAGCTGAGGCCAGCTCCCCTGGTGCATCATTACAGTTTCACAGGCCTCAAGGTTAGGGAACTAATCAAGTATGCAATGAAGTGATTAAATAACAGTATTTACAATTTAGGAACTGCTCACATTCTGCTGAACATTGGTTGCTTATTTCCTCTTTGGAAAAGAAATTGGTGGATACAGGCTCAAAATACATCTGGTCCTCCTCCTTGTAGGAAAGGACCACCCTTGACTCCCAGGCTGCTATACTCATTTTGAGTCATATATCAGGAAGAACATGTTAATTTGTCTTAGGTGGACTCAATTGCAGCTACCACTTGCTTTGTTTCAGGGCAAATGTCAGAAAGAACAGCTAATTCCTAGGAGACTCAGCTCAGCGCCTGCACACTGCTTCCATTGTTGGCTGCTACATGCTACAAACCTGGCTGTGCTTGAGGATCAACTATAGCAGGTGTTCAAAATACAGATTCACTGGCCTCATCCCTGGAGATTCTGAATCAGTAGGGCTGAGATGAAGCCCAGAAATCTGTACTTTTACCAAGCTCAGCAGATGGTTGTTTCTGTGGCCAGATTTAAGGACAACTGATCCAAACTCTTCAAGACTTCACTTGGCCTTCCCATCCTTCCTCCCTGCCATAAATATTTATGAAGCTCCTATTATGTGTCAGCACACCGTTGTTATGAGGTTGCTAAAGCATATACATATTCAGCACTAAATTGTAGTGCAAAAGTGGGCTTCCAAACTCAACATAGTAAAGGCATCAGTTCTCCCCAAATTAATTTTATAGGTCCAATGCAATTCTTACCAAAATCCTAGCAAGGTATTTTGTAATCATAGATGAGTTTATTCTGAAATTAATTTTATAAATTTTATTGTATATTCATAATGTAATTTACATTATACAAATAAAAATATCTTCTGAAACTTATTTGAAAATGCACAAGCACTAGAATAGCTATAATCTTCAAAAAGTAGAGTGGAGTGGGAGGAATCACTGTAATTAATATTAAGGCTTACTATATAGCTACAGTAATAGTGAGACAGAAAGATGGACACATAGATCAATGGAACAGAATAGATAATCCAGAAATAGACCCACACAAATATTCCCAACTGATATTTGACAAAATGCAGGAGAAATTCAATGAGGAAAGAATTGCTTTTTCAATAAATGGTGCTGGAACAATAGGACATCCGTAGATGAAAAAAAAAAAAAAAAGATCATTGACATTAAACCTCACACCTTGTACAAAAATGAACTCCATATGGATCCTGGACTTACATGTCAATGCAAAACTATATGATTTTTAGGGAAAAAAAGGGGAAGAAAATCATTGGGATCTAAGGCTAGGCAAAGAGTTCTCAGACTTGACACCAAAAGCATGATCTGTAAAAAGAAAAGGAAAACTTGACAAATTGTTTTTTGTTTATTCTTTTTCTCTGTAAAAAGTCTCTGTTAAGAGGATAAAAGATCCAAGCAACAAATGAGGAGGAAGTATCCGGAACAAAGGACTAGTATTTAGAATACATAAAGAACTCACAAAACTCAACCTTGACAAAAGAAAAAAATCCCATTAGAAAATAAGAAAAATACATGAATGGATATTTCACTGAAGATAATATACAGATGGCAAATAAGCACATGAAAAGATGCTCAACTTCAATTAGCCACTGGGGAAATGCAAACTAAACTACAATAAGATATCTCCACATATGTATCAGGATGGTCAAATAAAAAATAAGGACAACACCTAATGCTGCTGAGGACATGGAGAAAGGGGATTGCTCATACATTGCTCATGGGAATGTAAAATAGTGTATACATTGTGGAAAATGGTTTGATTGGGTCTTACGAAACTAAACACACGATCACCATAAGACCCAGCAATTGCACCTTGGGTATTTATCCTAGAGAAATTAAGATTTGTGTTTATACAAAAACCTTTACGAAAATATACATAGCAACTTAACTTGTAATGACCCCAAATGAGAAAGAACCCAGATATCCTTCAAATAAGTGAATGGCTAAGTAACATGTGGTAATCCATATCAAAAGAAATAACTATTGATACTCACAACAACTTCTATGAAACTCCAGAGAGTTATGTGGAATGAGAAAATGCCAATCCCCAAAGGTAGTACAAGTATGATTCAATTTATAGAACATTCTTAAAATGACAAAATTATGGAAATGGAGAATGGATTAGTGGTTACAAGAAGTTAAGGAGAGGTGGGGGAGAAGGGAAGGCCCAACTGGCTTTAAGGCAACCCTTCTTGCTAGGGACAGAAGTCATAGTTAAATTTAAGCCAGTGAAACACACAAATATTTCATAGGGACTTTTAGAAAAGTGCCCACACATCTTTAGGGAAAATTTCCAGAAGCAATTATTTATCTACCCCACTGTATAGCTTCTGACAGCCTTTCCATGACCTTAAAAGGGATCTGTCTTCAAAGGAAGCCAAGCGAAATCAACACTCTGGATGCCAGAGCAGGAAGAATGGCGAGAACTGGGGTCCCAGTTGTTATAACTGAATCAACCAACTGAACCCTGTCATGCAGCGGGACTTGGAGCTCCTGTGGCAATCAGTCTATGCATGCTTAAGCCAGCTTAAGTTGCTCTGCCTGTTTCTTGCAAATGAAAACTTTCTTACACAAGAGATTATCAACCATCTTTCCTCAAATTTTGTCCTTGGAGCCCTCTCTGTCTATAACTCGAAGATAGAGACATTTATCAATCCTGATCTTTGGGATTTCTGTTTCCCAAGTGGTTTTCCTTCACTGGACTTTTCAGATTTCCTTTTACCATTTTGAAATAATTTTAAAGTGAAAAGCTCTGGCCAGGCACGGTGGCTCATGCCTGCAATCCCAGCACTTTGGGAGGCCAAGGTGGGTGGATCACCTGAGGTCAGGAGTTCGAGAGCAGCCTGGCCAACATGGTGAAACCCCATCTCTACTAAAAATACAAAAATTAAGCCAGACATGATGGTGGGCACCTGTAATTCCAGCTACTCGGGAGGCTGAGGCGGGAGAATCGCTTGAACCCGGGAGGCGGAGGTTGCAGTGAGCTGAGATCACACCATTGCACTCCAGCCTGAGCAACAAGAGCAAAACTCTGTCTCAAAAATAAATAAATAAGTCTCCATGCTTAGCAGTGTTACTGTAGACAGTATGCTTTTTCTAAAGTACTTGCCAGTGCGAATCTGGTAGTCTTGACCACAGCTGTGGGTGGAGGCTGCTCTTCCTAGAAGAGTTTTGTCAGAACCTGCCAGCCTTCAAGCCCTGCACCAGGCTCTTTGTGTTGTAGCCCATGTAACCCTCACCCTACACCTGTGGAGTAGGCATCTGTGGTAGTCACACAGGGCCCCTTTGTGGTGGAGCAGGGCCATGTGATTTCCAACCACGGAGCTGTGAGGAGAGGCATGGATTGCCAATTCCATGCCGGTGTATTTAATTGCAGGTGGACGACCCACCAGAGTGCTCCTTCCATCTGTCACCAAGATCCTAATGTGATCACAGACAGTGGGCGTGCCATCAGCCTGTGTGCTAAGTCAGGGAGCAGGGAGCAGAGTGGCCAGCTGACCCTCACTGCATATGCACTGAGAGCAAGAAGGAAACCTTTACTGATACAGGTGGCTAAGATTCAGGGTTTATCTATTACAGCAGCATAATCTAGTTTATTCTGACTCGTACACTGCAAGGGTCATTTTTATAGATGAGGAAATTGAGACCCAGAGAAGTTCAATAATTTGTCTGAGGCCACAAGTAGATAAAGGCACTGAAATAAAACCCAGGCCTATGCCCTTCTCACTCAATCATGCTGCCCACCTAAGGACCTGGCAAGCTGTTTTGTATTCTTTTATGATGTGGTCAGTCAGGTGTGGCCACAAGAAGAGACCCAGGACAGGCTCAGGAAAATAAAGTTTATGATACACACAGGTCCTAGAAACAGGAGGCATTCCATGCCACTCCACATGGGAAAGACATCAGGGTGGTCAGGAGGCAGAAGACAGGTGAGGGGGCCACCTAGGCCATAGCTTTTACCGGGTTTCCATGGGAAAGGCAAGGCAAGGCAGGGTGAACAGCTTAGGACTAGCTAGTTTGAATCATTCCAGCGGGCTTTGGCTCTAGGCACGGTTTCTAGTTGTCTTGTACCTGGCCCTGGGATGATTAAGGAGAGGAATATGGTCTCTGGAGCGTAGGGCCAGATAGAGATGTAGCTCTGTGCTGGTTAGTTTGTATATCAAATGCATGCTCCTGTCCTCAGTCTCCTGGCCACCCTGGTGTCTTCCCCATGTGGTCCTGTGTGGCCTGCTGTGCCTGCTGTCTCTAGGACCCAAGAGTATAATAGGTTTTGTGTTCCTGAGCACTAAGTCTCCCCTTGTGGCCTCACCTGATTGATGAACTCATAAAAGAATACAAAACCCAAACCAGGAAGAATGTCTGGCTCTCAAGACCGAATTAGAAACCACCTTGAGAAATGAGAAAAAAAGGTGAGAAATTTTTTTACTTTGAATGGAAGATTCTCTGAACATTGCTTATTAACCTACTTAGTGCACACCAAAGAGGTCTCCACTTTCATCATGCCTCTCCACCCAGCATGCTCAGAGGCAAATAAGACCAGGTACTCTCCTGCTGAATATCGTTCACCTGCAATCCTATGGGATAAAGTTCAAATTTCTTAGCATGGCATGTGAAACTCTCCAGTATCTGGCTATAACCTAGTTCTCCAATTCCAATCCCAGCTCTTGGACCATCTCCAAACTCTCTCTTGCAGTCATTTGGAGCTCCTGGTAGGTAGCTAGTCAGGCAGGAGCAGAGCAGGAGAGGGCTACCCCCACCAACAAGAAATGTCAGGCAACCAACAGGTGATGGTCAGGCAATTGTCACATTGCCTCTCTGAAAGAATAATTGGTCACAGCCAGCACCAGAGAGAGGCAGCTTCCCAATAGATAAAAACATCTGTAACTGGCAGCTTTCAGGAATTGGGCAAGTGGGCTCAAGCATGCACATTAACGGGCAAAATGGCAGAGTATGACCTTCCAGAGGCATTCCACCAGGAAAGGGAAGAAAGCCTCAGGTGAACATGCGTACAGCTCCACTAAACACACTGCCCATGCTCACCTCCCAGGTGCTAGTAGGCCACTGTGCATGTGGGTAGCTCACCCTGAGAGAAAAATCAAGGGAAATGGGGTGCAAAATGCTGGAAGTCGGTCAGCATATGAAATCCTAGGTTCAAGGCCAAATGGGGCACTTGTCCTTCAAGTTGCCCACCTGGGCCTCTTCCAAGTGTACTTTCTTTCCTTTTGTTCCTGCTCTAAAGCCTTTTAATGAACTTTCACTCCTGCTCTAACACTTGTCTTGGCCTCTCCTTCTGCCTCATGCACCTCAGATTCTTTCTTCTGAGGAGGCAAGAGTTGAGATTGCTGCAGACCCATACAGGTTTGCCACCGATAACCTAGATAACTTCCACCACTAACACACCCATGAGGGTTTATAAAAAATTGAGGCCAGGAGTAGAAAATTCCTCTGAAAAGAGTTGTTGGAATGCTATGACATTTCCCCTTCCATACCTCTTTCCCCTCCTTGTGGAGGGGAGAGGAATGAGGTACCTCTCCTTTCCCTCCAGCCACATGAGAAAGACTGCTCAAATCATATACAGGGTTTGACATGTGTCTTCTGAAAGGGCTTGGTGTCTGGAACATCCCTGAGCAATCTCATGGTGAGAGGTGATGACGGCAACAACATGTCTGGCGGGAGAGCAAAGAGAAAGAGGATGGCGCTAGGAGTGAACCGCCAATCCCTGTGTCAGGGCAAGGGCGCGGATGCCCTTTTTATGTAGGCAAGTAAGCTGCAGGCAGGTCATAGCCTGTAAAACAAGCAGGGGTGATGTTGACCCCAGCAGAGAGAGAGCCAGAGCCTCAGCTCACACAGAGCATGCATTAGGGGGAATCACAAAGAGGCATCCACCTGCAGCTTATGAATTACACAAAGGTGGCCCTTCCTTTCCTGTGCAGCCCATTATTGGGGCACAAAACCATGCCTACAACTCAGCCTCCACTTACTCAATTGTCTGGTACCTTTATTCATGGCACAAATTACATAAACAGATTGGTAGCCCTGGATGGGCCGAGGAATGGTCTTGTAAGTAGCTGGGCAGAGGCAACATCACTGGGCATGGGTTTGTACTCAGAGATCTTCTGCAGGGGAATTCCTGAGAAAACACAAGATTGTCTCACAGAAGAAATGGCCAGCTCAAAATATCTGCTGAGCCCAGGGGGCCCATTGCTGAAGGACTCCAGCTGTAGAGGTGTCAGACACCCACTGAGTCTGGAGGGCCTGGGTGTGAAGCTGGGTGAGAAAGGAGAAATTGATGGTGCCCATTTCTCAGGCTGAAGGTGAAGAGAGCCTAACAATTAGATAAGTCAGAGGGAATCTTAAACTGAAATGGGAATATTCTGGGTGTTCAAAGTTATAAACCAGCCCAAGATTTCATCTGCACGGGCCCAGGGGAAAAAAGCATCTGGGCATTGAGTTCAAATGGCATTGGAAAGAAATTTGCACTCTGTTAGGTCCAGCTAATGAGATGCAGTTCAATGAAGACATCTGTATTCTTGCTGTAAAGCACAGGGCTTGGCGCAGACCAAGGAATGACTCATAAGGATTAAAAGGCATGAAACCAGGTTCTTTCTTAGAATTTGGCAGTCTTTGCACTTCACTTTCTGCCACATCATTATTTTACAGTTAGTACGTAGAGCTGGAAGTGGAGGGCAGGACATTTATGTTCAAGGGTTTGTGGCAGGCTCTCCTGCCAGCTGAGCAGCTCTCTCCTGTCGAAGTCTATGGATTCTCTCTCCTTGTGGTGTGTGCACGCAGAGCCATGGGCTGGCTGAAGCTGCAAATGGATGAGCAGCCAACAAATTGATCAATCTATTAATATTTATTGGGCATCTGCCGTGTGTCAGGCTCAGGGACCAGGCAGCCGGGGATTCACAACAAGATAAATGTATGTCCTTGTGCTCTTTAAATAGTTTTCTACCTCCACTGGGATTTTTACTGGCATTGAAATCTCCACAGTTTATTTTTATAGAGTCTTTTATGTGAAGTGTCTCAAAGCAGGGCAGAGAGAAACACACAGAGAGGCCCCCACGGCTTCTTCCAAGCTCATGGTCCTCATCAACTCACACTTAACAGGGCTGGGTGTGAAGCATACCATTCCCAAATGAACCAGGCTGCAAAGCACAGGCCTGAAGCAGGCGGTCCTGTGAAGGGTAATGTCAATGAAGTGATTATTTTTTTCTGTCAGTATTGTTCTTAGTTATCTTCTGTTCCTGGGCTCCAAGCCTGAATTAGAAAACTCTGAACTCGAGCATAGGCCTTGGGATCTCTCCTGAGGTCCTGAGTTCCAGCTATCCACTGGGGTCCTCCTGACTGTATCTGGGGACCCATGGCTTGGAGGAGGGTATGTTTGGCAGTAAGTTCTTATACTTGTAAGGAGTAGATGAGCCCTACCTCAGCAGAGAGCAGACATTGGCACGGCCCTCAAGGTCCATCTCAGAGGGCGTCTGGGTATCCGGATCAAGGCCAAGGACTGCAAAGACAAAAATTCCAAACCCAGCATTACCTCCCTGTGCTGGCCAATTCTGCTCCTCCAGCTGAGCCTTCCCAGTGTGATGATTTGAATGTTTGTCCCCTCCCACACTCATGTATTAATATTCAAAGAAATTTGGTTGCTGCTGTGGCAGTGTTAGGAGGTGGGACCTTCGGGAGGTGAAAGGACCATGAGGACTCTGTCCTTCTGGGTGAGATTAATGCTATTAGAAGAGGGTGAGTTTGCCTTCCTTTTTCCTATTTGCTCTCTGCCTTCTGCCACATGAGGACACAATGTTCCTCTCCTCTGGAGGATGCAGCAAGAAGACTCACACCAGATGCTGGCACCTGATCTTGGACTTCCCATTCTCCAGAACTGTGAGAAAAAAATGTTTTGTTCTTTACAAATTATCCAGGCTCAGGAATTCTGTTATAGCAGCACAAAACAGACTAAGACACCCAGGGATTAGCATTGAGCCTCAGACCATGCAGGAAATAAGGAGGCGGTGTCTGGGGGATGTGGTGCAGCAGGCAGGGGACAACCAAGCGACTTCCCAGCCCTGTTGGAAAGTGGATCTGGAGGGATGGACTAAAAGAGGCAGAACTGAGGCCTGGGCTGGAGGACCTGAGAGTGAAACTGGGCCTGCACTGGGGAGTGAGGAGGACCTGAAGCTGCAATGGGAAGCCCTGTGTGGCTGAATCCTAGAACCATGAGGAGAGGCAACATTAGCAACTAGATCTCTGGCCTCTGCTTTTGGAATCACTTTTGGATTCACTTTTGGATGAGTGGTGCATGAACTCATCCAGACTGATGTGTGAAGGGCATCCAGGCTTACCCCTAAAGTATGGAGACTGCAGTGGGTCTGTTGCTCACAGAGGAACTCCCAGAAACTCTGGGAGAGTCACAGACCTAGAGAAGCGTATGGCTCAAACCTCTTGAGCAAGAAAAGCAGTGTTCACTGCCAGGCGTGGTGATGAATGCTTCTGTTTTTTGTCTCATTAAACACTTGCAACTGTGTCTCCTTTTTTAAAAAAAGGAAAACTGAGACACAAGTTGGGAAGTAACCTGCCAAAGGTCACCAACTATTCAGTAGCAAAGCAGGGACTTAAGGCCAGGCTTGCAAAGCTCCTAGTGCTACTGGTAATTGGTAAGACTCAAGGGTTTAAAGAGGCCTCCAAAGAAGGGTAGTAAACTGTGATGGGCCCTAAACTTTATAGTTCTTCGAATTTTTCACAGGTAAAAGGACAGAAAGCCAAGAAGAGCCTTCTGGGTCACTGGCTTCTGGGAATATTGTGTGGTCAAGCAGGAAGTCTGGGGGAGATGGAATGACACCTCAGGGTCCACTCTTACCAACTGTTCATTTAGCCTCCATGCAAGGATTTCCTGGTGATGTGAATGGGGGTTATTCCCTCTGTGTGTCTTGGAGCAGCCATGCTGCTCATGTTTGTGAAATGATGACCAGTGCAGAATCTTGATGTTAGGCACTATGAAGAAACATTAGACATGGGGTCCATCTTTAAAGGGGAATCTTACCCTGGTGATATAGTTTGGATATTTGTCCCATCTAAATCTAATGTTGGGCTGGGTGCGTTGGCTCATGCCTGTAATCCCAGCACTTTGGGAGGCTGAGGCGGGCGGATCACCTGAGGTCAGGTGTTCAAGACCAGCCTGGCCAACACAGTGAAACCTCGTCTCTACTAAAAATACAAAAATTAGCCAGGCATGGTGGCATGCTCCTGTAGTCCCAGCTACTGGGGAGGCTGAGGCAGGAGAATCACTTGAACTGGGGAGGTGGAGATTACAGTGAGCTGAGATCACGCCACTGCACTCCAGCCTGGGCGACAGAGCGAGACTCCATCTCAAAATAAATAAATAAATAAATAAAATCTAGTGTTGAAATTTGATCCCCAATGTTGGAGGTGGGGCCTGGTGGGAAGTGTCTGGGTCATGTGGGTAGATCCTTTATGAATGACTTGGTGCTAGTCTCATGGAACTGAGTGAGTTCTTAGTCTTTGTTTTCATGAGAACTGGTCATGGAAAAGAGCCTGGCACCTCCCACCTCTCTCTCTTCCTCTGTCTTGCACACATTGGCTCTCCTTTGTCTTCTGCCATGAGTGGAAGCTTCCTGAGGCCCTCATCAAAAGCGGGTGGTGGTGCCATGTTTCTTTTACAGCCTGTGAAACTGTGAAACTAACAAACCTCTTTTCTTTATAAATTACCCAGCCTCAGGTATTGCTTTATAGCAACACAAACAAACTAAGACATATGGCAATGGCGTGGGTTGCTTGCAGGGTACCTTGGCTGCTACAGAAAGAAAAAGTCTCTGTAGAGACTCACTGTCAGTGACTCACGGAGCAGAAAGCTGGCCTCAGAGCCTGGACAGAGGGTAGCTGTCACTGCTTAACTGCAGTTCAGCTCAAGCATATGGCTCTCTGTGGGACCAGCACTGAAGGCTGGGGGATAAGTGAGGCAGGTCTTGTCACACCTTCAGGGTATCTGGATTCACCAAAGTGGCTCAGGTCAGGACCAATGAATAGAGGTTTGTTCGTCAAGATAAAAAGATTCTGGCTTCCTGTTTTCAGGCAATGCCAACGATTGAATTCCCTCTACATTGACCACCCTTGCTGAAGTTGTCTTAATTGACCTAGCAGCCAACTGACCTCATATTCTGGCACAGGCTCTGACTCCTTTTGCCTATCTGCCCTGCTCTGATACTACAAAGAGACCCCCCCACCCCAGCCCTCTGGGGCCTCATTAGGGGCTTAGAGGGCAGGCGTGGGTCAGGCGAGCATTCCTGGAGAACACAGTCCTCAGTGGTTCAGGATATGAGCATAGCTCAGAGAGCTGTTAACATTATCAGCCTGGCCTGGGAGAGGGGGACGCGCACAGGGTGGTGCACAGGGCCCGCAGGGAATTTACAGCGGCGTCCGCGGCGATGGGCTCTCAGTGCCTTGGAAGACCGGTAGAGGCAGGTTCTGTCTCTCCCGGCCTCGCAAGCAGAGGGCCGCGGCGCAGGGCAAAGCTCCAGTGCGCAGGCTCGCGGGCGCAGGTGGGATTGGATAGCGACGAAGGCCGGCAGGCTAGGCGTGGACCCAACTGGCGAGGCTGCTGGGGTTGCAGCGGGACAGTTGGGGCGGCCCCGCAGGCCCAGGTGAGGAAAGGTGGCTGGGGGCCAGGTGGGCAGGGGGCGTGCGGGAGGCCGCTGCGCCGGGCTGTGGGAGGGCGGGCGTGAAGAAGGAAGATGCCGTTGACGTGCAGGGGTCACAAGGCGTGGGTTGTGGCCCTGGCCCGGGAGACTGCCCGGGTGGGCCTGAGCTGTGAAGTAGTGTCGCTGCAGCCAGAGGGCAGGACGTGATTCTGGCCGTGTGATGCCAGCTGCACTGTGACGCGTGTTGGGGCGCCTATGCGAGACGGGACCGGGACAGGAACCCTGTGGCTCTGTGGTAGGGGAATGCCACCAACTCCCTGAGGAGCAGCCGTGTGGTATGATTGGTAAGAAGCCATCATCAGGCGCTGAGACAGCCCAGAACTTCCCAATGACTCAAGGGCGGGTGGAGGTCGAGGGACCTAGAAAGAAAGAACATGAATTCATCAATCCATTCAGCAGCTATTTTGAACGCCTCCTGTGTGCCAGATGCTGTTCTAGAAGCTCAGAATATCTATGAACGCGATAGGCAATGCCCCCATATGCCAAGGCCCTCATATGCTAGCCTTGACTCAAGGAAAACTGTAGGATGGGGTAGGTTTCATTTTTGGAAGTTGTGGAATCAGTACTTATGTTTTGAATGTGTTAGGTTTGAGATGCCCAGTAGGTTTTTCCCAATAGAAGACATAAGCATAGCTGGGAAGAATTTTGCAGAGGACTCTGACCACCTACCACCTACAGGTGCCATGAATATTTAGCACATTTGATTTTTCACATTACCTATTCACCTTCTCTCCATTTATCAGTCACCTGGTAGTTTTTTTTAGTATGGTGAAATATACACACATAAATTATCTAGTAGATATTTGGGTTGAGATATCAAATGTGCTTTTTAGAAATTTAAATCTGAAGTTCTGGAGGATGTCGGGCTAGAGTTAACCTTTGGAATCGGCATCATATACTGTACATAGTATTTAAAATATATGGGACTGGTGAAGACATCTAGTTTAATAGTGTACACAAAGAAGAGGAGGCGAAGCCAAAAAAGGGAGGGAGGTAGTGGTCAACCATGTTGAATGTTACCGTATAAGATGCCTTTGGTAATTAGGAGGATTTTAATCATTTTGACAAGAACAACTTTAATGGGGAAGAGGGGCCTTAAGGTTGGGTAGAGTTTTTTTCAAGATAGAAGAAAGCAGAATGTTTATATGGCAATGTGATTAAACTCGTAGAAAGGAAAAACTGCTGCAGATGAAAGAGGGGAACATTGTAAA
Organism: Homo sapiens; assembly: GCF_000001405.40. NCBI lineage: Eukaryota > Metazoa > Chordata > Mammalia > Primates > Hominidae > Homo > Homo sapiens. The sequence continues at coordinate 48,139,094 of NC_000010.11, read as the reverse complement.
GGGTAGTTGTTGAATACCTGAGAAAGGAGAAGACCCTAAGCAGGTGAGTAGTTGGTTTTGAAATGAGCAGGGACACTTACTCTGTTGTAACTAGAGGGGAAGCTGAGATAACAGGTGCAGATACAGTGGGTGGTGGGAAAAGAGTCTATTGGTATAGGCATCCATCAGCTTAGAGGGAGGGCAGCGGGGGAGAGGAAAGGTGTGGGAACTTGGAGGAGAGATATGTGACAGAGTCCTAGAGAGGGTGAAAGTGAGCGTACTAGAGAAATAGAGTTGGATTCCCAGGCAGTGCTCAGGGCCCATTTGAGACGTGTAGTCTTACATTTAAAGTGATATAAACCAGTGTGGTTGTTTCATGTTCAACTTTGGAAGGGTGTTGTGAGGATTAAAGAAGGTAATGCATGAAAAACATTTAATAGAGTGTCAGGCGTTTAATGAATGTTAACGCTTTTTATTTGAGCCCTCGTTTTGTTTTTCTTTTCTGTTTATACATATGTGACTGAGGATGGCTGGCAATTACCACTTGACAGGCTGTTCTGGGGCATGTTCTCCCATCACAGAGAACTGCAGTTTGCAGCTACTCAGAAGTCTGGTTCCTGTTGTGTTTACATGTACACAGCTTGATAATTGAAGATGTTTGCTTTTTAGAGCCATTGTCCTGGACTGTTTGGGCTGGGGTTTGTCACAGTGACAGTCCTTAAGTTTTTGTGAAAATCTTTTATGACTGCATTTCATATTGGATCTGATGTACTGGTAATCTACAGAATCTACAAATCTAAGATTGGCAGGAAAATTTTCAGTTTAATAGATTTTCATTTCTCCCTGACCACTTGAGCTGTTTTAAAATACAAATAATAATAATGGCTGACAGAAAGCTCTTAAAAGTGCCAAGTACTTTTCTAAGCACATCACATGCCTAATCTTGTTTAATCATCACCTCAGCTCTACAAGGCAGGTACAATTATTATCCTGATTTTTCAGATGCAAAAATAGGCTCCAAGAGGTTAAGTAATTTGCCCAAGGTACCCATACCCTGACCTCCAGTTTCTACTGCAGACAATAACTTTTTCTTTTTTTTTAAACTGCTTGGCCATCACTCATCTGCATTGCAGTGGAGTACTTAAGATGTTGGACTCCAAAGCCAGATTGCCTGGTTTCAGAAAACTGCCACTTAGTAGCTATGGGACTTTGGGTAAATCATCTAACTTCTGTGTGCCTTTGTTTCTTTTTTGACAAAATGGAAATAATAATAGTACCTGCCTGATAGGGCTATTATCATCGCAGTTGAGAATCACATGAGTTAATATATTTAATATGCCTAATATAGTGCCTGGTTGTTTAAATGCTACTATTATCACCTGCCTGGTAGTACCACCATGGTGCTGTATATACTGATTGGTTTGATCTATCAAAATAAGATTCCAAGTGTCCTGTTATTGTCTAAGCAGAGTTTTAAAATTGCAGCCCACTATATTATTCCCACCTCAGGGATCACTCCTGTTTCCTCTGAGTTTATCTCTCTGAGGGAAACAAATAGATAACAGTTTGCTTCCAGGAGCAGACAACAACTCAGATTTCATTCAGACTCATTTGACCAATAGAGTTCATTTCATTAATCCTGGCATTACATACCACTTAGCAAAGGGGAATAAGGCTTGGGGAGTAATGTGATTCCATGTTGCTTTTCCCAGATCAGCAGCCCATTTAGAGGAATTTGGTTAGAAATACCAACGGACTACATAGCCAGTATTTGGCACAGCATAGGGTAGGTGATGTGGGTCAGTGGGCTGGACATAAAAGTGTTCTGAAAAGATCTGTAAAGTCATTGGAGTTACTGTGATGTGTTGTGTCAGTTACTGATTAAAAGTAACTGGCAGGCTTGGCATTTGAGACCACTGAAAGTTTTAAATGATCTTTCTGATATACAACACGTAGAGTAAATGTATGATACAAAGTAGTGGTTCTCAGTGAGTTTGCATCAGAATCACCAGTGGGGAGTTTTATGAAGATTTGCACAATGACAGGCTCCACTTCCACAGATTCTGAATCAGTAAGTCTCGGTAGGGTTCTGGAATCAATCAACTTTTTTAAGAGCTCCCCAAGTGACTGTGATGTGCAGTTAGCATGGCATATCGTTAGTACAAATCAGTGCTTTTAAGCCCTGACTGTGTTTTACAATTACCTTTCTATCAGCTTTTTTAAAAAATACTGATATTCTGGAGCCACCCCAGGGATTCTGATTTAATTTGGCCTGGTGAGTTCTGGACATACGTGTGTTTCTTTAAAAAAATTTCTGAGATGATTCTAATGTACAGCTAGGTTTGAGATTCACTGGCATAGTCAGCTAGATTTCCCGCCATAGTTTATTTACTCTTGAAAATTTAAACATAGCTTCAGGCAGCATCTTACCACCAGGAAAGTGGAAAAATGAGCATTTCTGAATTTCCTCAATGTAAATGTTCAATAAAATAATCAGCTAACAATGAAAAATGTGAATTGCTGGTAGAATTAGCATTTCTTACCCTAAGCTATGAAGATTTGATCAAGTTTCCCTTGGGGATGAGAATTTACATTTCCTGAGAGCCTTATATAGAATCTCAATATTTCAGCAACTCTGGGAGGTACATATATTTCCCATGTTGTAGATGAGAATTTTGAGGCTAAGGGAGGTTAAGTAGCTTGCACACTCAGTTGTGTACATTTCCAAGGTCTAGGTTCCATTTTTTCAGTGATTCTCAACTTTGAGTGCACACTGGGATCACCTGGGAACTTTAAAATTACCAGTGCTTGGCTGGGTGTGGTGGCTTACGCCTGTAATCCCAGCACTTTGGGAGGCTGAGGCGGGCGGATCACGAAGTCAAGAGATCAAGACCATCCTGGCCAGCATGGTGAAGCCCCATTTCTACTAAAAATACAAAAATTAGCTGGGCGTGGTGGCATGCACCTGTAGTTCCAGTTACTTGGGAGGCTGAGGCAGGAGAATCACTGGAATCTGGGAGGTGGGGGTTGTAGTGAGCCAAGATGGCACCACTGCACTCCAGCGTGGCAACAGAGCAAGACTCCGTCTAAAAAAAAAAAAAAAAAAAAAAAAATGACCAGTGCTGGTGTTCCATTCTCAGAGATTCAGATTTTGTTGGTCTGGTGTGGCCTGGAATTGGGATTTTGCAAAGCTCTCCAGCTAATTCTAATGTGCAGCTGAAATTGGGAATCATGCATTACAACATGCAGCTTCCTGGTGGTCTAAATTAATTTTCTCTTAACGCTCCTCTGTAGATGGCTGTGACTGGGTTCCTTGCCTTCATATATTCACTTATAGATGTCTTAGTGTCTTTTCTTTCCACCCCTTCCTCACTTTTAATAAATATGTAAAGATTGCCAGACACTGTTCTTGGTGCCAGAATGACACAGTGATGACAGGACAGACCAAGTTGCCAGCCTCATAGTACTTATATTGGGGAAGATAGACAATAAACATGTGAGAAGATATATATGGACTTACATGGGTAAGCAAACTTTAAGGTAATAAAAAGTGGTTTTGGGAAAAATAAAGCAAGATGATGAGTAGAGATCCCAGCAGCAATGCATGAGATTCCATTTGCTCCACATCCTCACCAGAATCACTTTGTATTGGACTGTGTGTGTGTGCTTGATTTTAGCATTTCTAGTAGGTATGTAGCAGTATTTCGTATGGTTTTCCTTTGCATTTTTATGTTGACCAGTTGTCTTAATCATGTTTTCATATATTTATTTGCCATCTATGTTTCTTCTTTGGTGAAGTATCTGTTCACATCTTTTGACTATTTAAAATTGGGTCGTCCTCTTTTTGAGTTATAAGGGTCTATATATTTAGGATATAGGTCCTTCCTCAGATGTGTGTTTTGCAAATATCTTCTCCCAGACTGGGACTTGACTTTGCATTTTCTTAATGCTGTCTTCTGAAGAGCAGAAGCTTTTGATTTTTTCAAAGTCAAGTTATCAATTATTTCTTTTGTGGTTTGTGCTTAGTGTCTTAAGAAATCTTTGTGTAATCCAGTGTCACAAAAGCTTTCCCCTAAGCTTTAAGCTAGAAGTTTTATAGGTTTAGAGTTTGCATTTAGGTCTGTCATCTATTTTGAGTGGATTTTTGTACATAATATGAGTATGGGGTGAAGTTCATAATTCTGTATGTGGATGTCTCATTTTCCCACACACTTGTTGAAAGCACTATCCTATCCCCATTATATTATCTTGGCACCTTTCCCCTCCTAAATCAATTGTTGCTATGTGTGAATTATTTCTAATCTCTCTGTTCTTTCCTGCTGAGGTATATGTCTATTCTTATACCAGCATCACATTGGATGTTCCATTCACAATTTCTGTTCGTTATAGGGAGGTCCTAGTCAGTGAAATAAAGGAAGGAAAAGATATAAATGTACACAGATAAAAAAAGAAGAAATAAAATTGTCTTTATTTGCAGACAACATGATTGTTTATGTAGGAGCCCGAGGAATCTACAAAAAAGCAACTAGAAATAACATGACTTTGGCAAAGACACAGGATGTGAGGCCAATATACAAAAATCAATTGTATTTAGCACTGGCAATGAACAATTGGAAATTAAAACTTAGAAATACAGTTTACAATGGTATCAAAAACATGAAAAACTGAGGGATAAATCTAATGATGTTCTGTAATATTTGAATACTAAAAACTCTAAAACATTGAAGAGAGAAAACCAAATAAATGGAGAAATAAATCTATTCTACTTGATAATATTTTGTTAAGGTTTTTTTTGCATATACATTCATGAGGGATATTGGTGTATAAAGATATTGGTCTGTAATATTCTTGATTTTGGTATCAAGGTTAATGGTGGTCTCATAAATTAGTTTGGAGTGTTCTCTTTTCTATTTTCTGGAACATTTTGTATAGGATTGTTATTCGTCCTTAAAGGTTTGGTAGAGTTCAACAGGGAGGTATCTGGGCCTAGAGTTTCCTTGTGTTAGTTTTATACCATGGACTCAAGTTTTTAAAACTATATATGGCTATTCAGATTGTATATGCTACTCAGTTCTTTTTGAGTGAACTTTAGTACTTTGTGTCTTTCAAGGAATTAGTTTTTTTCATCTATGTTATCAACTTTGGCATACAGTTGTTTGTAATACTTTCTTATTATCCTTTTAATGGCACTAACATTAGGATCTGTAGTGAAGTCCTCTTTTTCATTTCATTTCCGATTTTGGTTATTTGTGTATCTCATCTTCTCTGCCTCCCTCTTTCTCTCCCTCCTTTATCTCTTCCTCTTCCTCTTTCCTTCCCACCCCTTCCTTTCTTTCAGTAGTCAATTCTAGAGCTGCACTGTTCAATAGTTATCCCTAGTCACATGTGTCTATTTAAATGTAAATTAATTTCAATAAAATTACATTAAAAATTGAGTTCCTCAGTCACACTGGCCACATTTTAAGTGATCAGTAGTCCCAAGTGGCTTCCACATTGGAGGGTGCTGCTATATAGAATGTTTTCATCATTATACAAAGTTCTACTGGACATTGAGGGTCTAGAGGTTAGCAATTTTTTTTAAAATCTTTTCATGGACCTGTTTTGGGTTTCATTGATTTTTCTCTGTTATTTTTTTATTTTCCATTTCATTGATTTTTTTTCCTCTTTATTATTTCCCTCTTTTTGCTTGCCTTGGATTTAATTTCTTTTTTAATTTCTTAAGGTAAGAACTTAGATTACTCATTTGAGGCCTCTATTATTTCCCAATATAAATATTTAATGCTATAAATTTCTCTATCAGCACTGTTTTAGCTGCATCCACTAATTTTGATGTTGTATTTTTACCTTCATTCAATTCAGAATATTGTATAATTTCCTTTGTCACTTCTTTGAATTGGGAGTTATTTAGAAATATATTGTTTAATTTCCAAATATTTGAGAATTTTAAAGATTTATTTCTGTTGATTTCTATTTTAATTCCATTTTTAAAAACATATTTTGTATTTCAGTTTAATGTTTTATGGTTTGTTTTTAGGCCCAGAATATGGACTATCCTTGTGAATGTTCCGTGTCCACTTTAATACTTATTTTGTTGTTGGCTGGGATGCCCTATAAAAGTTAGGCCAAATTGCTTCATAATGTTGTTCAGGTTTTCTGTGTCCTTATTATCTGCCTACTTGTCTCCAACATTGTTGTAGATTTTTCTGTTTTTTTCATTTCAGTTTTCATTTTATCACTTTGGAAGCTATGTTGTTGGATACACACACATTTAGAATTCCTATGTATTATGTAATGCCCCTTTTCATTTCTGGAAATGTTTATCATTTTTTAAAGTCTATGTTGTCGATGTTAATATGGCCATTCTACCTTCTTTTGATTAGTGTTTACATGGGTTATCTTTTTTCCATTTTTTTAGTTTATCAATGTCTTTATATGTACGGTGGGTTCCTTGTAGACAGTATATAACTGGATCTCACTTTTTTAATCCAGTCAGACACTCCCTGACTTTTAATTTGGATGGCCAGACCATTTACATTTAATATAATTATTGATATGATTAGATCTTAATCTATCATCTTGCCAGGTTTGCACTTGCCTTACCTGTTCTTTAATCTAGTCCCTTCTTTTCCCATACCCTTTTGGCTTAAATGAGGCTTTCTTTAATGACTCAATTTTTTACTCCATTTTATCTCCACTCTGCCCTTATGTTGCTTCTGCTTTTTCTCCTCCATGCTTCTTCTCCTTCTTTTTATTCTTTTCTTAGTGGTTACTCTAGGCTGTATAAGTTTGTCACAGTCTACCTTCAAATAATATATCATTTCACATATAGTATAATATATATACCTTACAACAGTGTGCTTCCATTATTTCCCACCCATACTTTGTGTTATGATTGCCATACATTTTACATCTACATATCTTATAAAGTGCACCATATAATTGTCATTATTTGTGCTTCAGACAATTATCTTTTAAAATTCTTGTTCTGTTTGCTCTTAAAAATCTTATTTTACAGACTACTTTTAGAACAGTTTTAGATTTATTAAAAAATTGAGTAGATAGTACAGAAAGTTACCCTATACCCCCTCAGCCCCATGGTTTTCCCTGTTATTAATATGTTGTGTTTGTTTGGTACATTTGCTATAGTTAATAAGCCAATATCTATAGATTAGTATTAACTGAAGTCTGTAGTTTACATTAAGGTTCACTAGTTATATTGTACATTTCTATGGGTTTTGACAAATGTATAATGTCATGTATCCACAATTATAGTATCATATAAAATAGTTTCATTGCCCTAAAAGTCTTCTGTGCTTCTTCTGTTCATTATTCTAGCTCAACCCCTGAACCCCTGCTTACCACTGATCTTTTTGCTGTCTCAAAAGTTTTGCTTTTCCTAGTGTCATATAGTTGGAATTATATAGTATGCAGCCTTTCAAATTGGCTTCTTTTCTTTAGAAACATTGATTTAAGCTTTCTCCATATCTTATTATAGCTTGATAGCTTATTGTTTTATCTTTATATAGATAGATATTCCTTGAAAGGGCCATATATGCAAAATAACCTCCAAATACAGAAGGAGCCAAGAAATCAAAGAATGAGGCAGGCATATCTAGTTTATTGGCAGAGGGTGATTTTTAGGGGAAACTTATGGACAGAAATGTGTTCTTGGGCAGAAATGTGTTCGTGTAAGACAGGTAGATGTTCACACCATTACTCCCCAGACTCAGGGCTTATATACCATAGGGAAAGAGTATATATATATATGCTCCATAGACAATTAAAGACAACCCTCCAGAGCAGAGGGTGCTGGGGGCAGGGTTCAGGGGATGAAGCTCCCCAGAGTTTCTATGTTTTGTGTTAGGCTACCAGGGCAGGTAGGGAAATGCCGTCAGGTGGCAGCAGGGTTAGGCAGGTCTGGTTAGGCAGCAGGGTTAGGCAAGCTCCTTGGGCGGGGCTTGCTGAGGCCACTGTGGGGGCTGGGGGTTGGTTCTCCGGCCAATGGGGTTATGTTCCATAGGGGATCTTGGCCGCCTCTACTGTATTATATAGTTTGCCAGGGAAGTCAGGGATAGCCAGTAGCAAGAGGCCTGACTCAACTCCCATGCAGTTGGCAAGCCCGCATATCCTGCAATGCCCCGCCCAGACCTTGCCCCTGCTCTGTTGGTGGCAGTTCTTGTACTCCTGTACTTGCTTGTATCTGCAGCAGCTCCTGCTCCTTCCTCGGACTCCACTCCAGAAAATGTGTGCCCAGTCGAAACCACTACCAATTTCATCTGGGAGCTTTCTTCACCCCACAACACTTCCGCAGTTCTGCTGGTTGTCTTCCACAAGGGCCCCAGTGAGATATAGTCAGGGATGGCGTCCCTGTGCTCGAGCTGGAGACTGGGAGTGCATACAAGGCACTTCCTGCTGCTACTTCTACTTTCATATTTTGTGTGACTCTCTAAATCCCTTCCATCTCTAGGTAAGGTTAAATTCTTCTCCTGTGATCTGGATTTTCAGATTCCCAGCAGGGATGTGTGTTTGGAGGTCGGTTTTCTCCCTCTTACACTTTGGGAACTCACAGTTTTTCTCCTGTTTCACGGAATTTGCAGTGGCATGCCTATTTTGCCAATTTTTAAATGAGGTTGTTTGTTTTCTCATTGTTGAGCTTTAAGAGTTCTTTGTTTATTTTTTATTAGAAATTTTCTGTCAGATATGTGCTTTCTCAAACATTTTCTCCTGGTCTGTAGCTTGTCTTTGTAGTCTCTTAACAGTGTATTTTGCAGAAAAGGAGTTTTTAATTTTAATAAAGTCCAGCTTATCAACTTTGTTTCCTGGATTATCCTTTTGGTGTTGTATTTAAAATCTCATTGCCAAAACCAAGGTCACATAGATTTTCTCTTTTATTATTGTTGTGTGGTTGAATTTTATACCCCAAGAGAATATTTTGAAGTCCTAACCCCAGATACCTGTGAGTCCAACCTTACTTAGAAATAGGATCTTTGCAAATGTTAAACAAGTTAAGCTGAGGTCCTAATGCAATGACTGGTGTCCCTGTAAAACAAGGGAAATTTGGACACAGAGGGAGAAATTCATGTAACAGCAGAGGCTGAAATTGGAGTGGGATGTCTATAACCAGGGAACATCAAGGATTACTGAAACCACCAAAAGTTAGGAAGAGACAATTAAACATCCTTCCCTGGGGCCTAACAGAGGGCATGGCCTTGCTGCCACCCTCAGACTTCTGCCCCCAGAACTGTGAGAGAATACATTTCTGCATTTTTAAGCCATCCAATTTGTGGCACTTTGTTATGGCAGCCATAGGAAATGAATACATATTTTGATACCAGGAAATCTTTTTCTGTTGGAATAACTACCTAAAAAACATGTAAGTGGCTTTGGAATTGTGTATAGACTGGAATAATTTTTAGGTGCATAACATAAAAAGCCTAGACTGCTTTGAAAAGACTACTGGTAGAAATACAGATATTAAAGGTGATTCTGGTGAAGGCTCAGTAGAGAGGGGAATTTTAGAAAAAGCATCTATCATAGATTCTTTGCATCTTAGAGAATACATATGTTGTCATGAACAGAATGTTACTAGAAATGTGAACTTTAAAGGTGCTTCTTGTGAGGCCTTAGAAAGGAAGTGGTGAATATATTATCAGACACTGGAGGAAAAGTGATCCTTATTACAGAGTGGCAGAAATTTGGGTGAACTGTGTTTTACCTGTGGGTGGAAAGCAGAACTTGTAGGCAGTGAGCTGAGGAGATTTCTAAGTAAAGCGTGAAAGATGGGGCCATGGTTTCTCCTTGCTGCTTATAGTGAAATGCAAAAGGAAAGAGATAACTTGAGGAAGGAATTGTTAAGCAAAGGAACCAGCACTTGATGGGTTTGAAAGTTCTCAGCCAATCCAGGAAACATACTCCCGAAACAGGACCAAGGGTGTGGCTGAACAACCATTCACTGAAAAGATTACCTGTGTGACTCATGGATCCAGACAGCCCTCTCAGGCCCTGGAAACCTAATGAAAATTTCCCTGCCATGTTTTGGACTTGTTTGAGACCTGTGACCCACTTTTTCCTTCCAGTTTCTCCCTTTTGGAAGGTGACTGTCTGTCCTATGCCTGTTGTATTTTGGAAGCAGATAACTTGTTTTGTGGATTTCAGTGTCCATAGGAGAGAAACTTTGCCCCAGGCTGGACCATACCCAGGATCTCACACATACTTGATTTAGATGATTTAGGAGATGAGATTTGGGACATTACAGTTGATATTTAGAGGCAATTTTGACTTAGAGTTGATGCTGGAATGGGTTAAGGGTCCTGGAGATGTTGAAATGGGGTGAATGTATTTTGCATACAGTAAGGATATGACTTTTGGGGGATTGGAGAGAAGACTGTTGTGGTTTAAATTGTGTGAGACAGTTGAATCGTGCTGTCCAGGGATTTCTGGCAACCACCAAAAGACAGGAAGAGACAAGGAAGTATACTCCCCTAGAGCCTTCAGATAGAGTGCAGCCCTGCTGACACCTTGATTTAAGGCTTCTAATTTCCAGATTTGTTTTCCCTTCTTTTAAGCCACCTAGTTTGTGGTACCATGTTATAGCAGCTCTTGGGCACCAATACAGTTATCTTCTAGAAGTTTGAGAGTTTTTGTGTTTTACATTTAGGTCTGTGATTCATTTTGAGTTATTTTTTTGTGAAAGGTGTAAGGTCTGTTCCATTATCATTTTTTGAAAAAGAATATTCTTTCTTCACTGAATTTTCTTTGCTTCTTTACTAAAGATCAGTTGACTACATTTGTGTGGATATATTTATATGGATACTGTATTCTGTTCCATTGATCTATTTGTCTATTCTTTCAACAGTACCTTGTGGTCTTGATTATTGTAGCTTTATAGTAAGTCTTGAAATCTTGTATTATCTGTCTTCCAACTTTGTTCTTCTTTAGTATTTTGTTGATTATTTTGGGTTTTCTGCGTTTTCATATAGACTTCAGAATGAATTTGTTGATACCCATGAAACAATTTGCTGGTATTTTTGTTGGAATTACATTGGCTTTATAAACCATATTGGGAAGAATTGAGGTCTTAAAAATATTGAGTGTTTCTATACATGAACATGAAATATCTCTCCATTTGTTTAGATATTTGCTTTCCTTTGTCAAAGTTTGGTAGAGTTTCTCATATAGATCCTGTATATATTTTGTTATATTTATACCTGTATATTTCAGTTTTGGAGAGCAGCTAATGTAAATGATACTGTGTTTTATATTTCCAATTCCAATTGTTAATTGCTGGTTTATAGAAAAGGAATTGACTTCTGCATATTAACTTTGTATTCTGCAACCTTGCTGTAATTGCTTATTAAGTTCCAGGAGTTTTTATTTATTGATTTATTTCGAGATGGAGTCTCGCTCTGTTGCCCAGGCTGGAGTGCAGTGGCGCGATCTCAGGTCACTGCAACCACTGCCTCCCGGGTTCAAGAGAATCTCCTGCCTCAGCCTCTCGAGTAGCTGAGATTACAGGTGCACGGCACCATGCCTGGCTAATTTTTTGTATTTTTAGTAGAGATGGCACTTCACCATCTTGGTCAGGCTGGTCTCAAACTCCTGACCTCAAGTGATCCGCATGCCTCAGCCTCCCAAGGTGCTGGGATTACAGGTGTGAGCCACCACGCCCAGCTAAGTTCCAGGTCTTCGGTGTTTGAAGGAGAAAGTTTATGGACTTAAAAAATTTTGTACCTGCAAAAGATCCATATTGCCCATAGCCCTTTTCTAAATCTTTTATTTTATAGATTAAGTGGCTAATTGTTTTTGTTTATTCTTTGAGATATTTTATATAGACATTTATGTCATCTGAGAAGCAAGGCAGTTTTATTTTTTCCTTTTCAACTGTATGCCTTTTGTTACTGAATTAGTCAGAAGTTGTATAAGATGTTGAATAGGAGTGGTAAAAGAGAACATCCTTGCCTTGTTACCTATCTTAGGGGAAAGCCTCTAGATTCTCCCTGTAGATTTTTTTTGTAGATATTTTTTATCAAGTTGAGAAAGTTTGCCTCTAGTCCTAGTTTTCTAAGAATTTTTTTTTTTAAATCAAGGATGGAATTTGGATTTTGTCAAATGCTTTTTTGCATCTATTGATATGATTATATGAATTGTCAAGAATCAGTGAGTACTTTGCCAGATGTCCACTAAACTATGAGCTCCTTGGAGGCAGAAGTTATTGCATCATCCCTGGATCCACATCTCTGATACAGTGACTAGCACATTGTAGACACTCAAAGCCTGCTGAATTGATTTAGCGTTTTACTTTTCACAGTCAAGAGATCACACACCTGAAAGACATATTTGTGACATACTCGGTACATGGAAGGTGTGGTTGCCAGGCAACCACACCCCAGCCTGGGTTGTTTGGTGACTGGATAAGGTATGGGGCTGGTGGTCTCCAAACCATCCTAATCACTTTCTTAGAACTACCTGATTGAGGCTAAGGGCATGCCTCTTTCTGTTTATTTTTCTGTTTGTCCTTTTCTTCTGTTTGTTCTTGAATTAGTCACCGTGCAACTTTAGCCACTCGCTTCTAAGTAGCATAGAGTCCCCCAAAACATGAGTACCATTTGCTATTCTTTAGGAACAGCTTTCTTACCAGAAGTGGGTGGCTCAGGCATCACTGCCTTATCACAGGGAAGTATTTTCCACCTATTACCTCATATCTGACTGTGAGGACCACAAAGGAGTGAGAAGGTGGGGAAGGTGAGCTAGGAGAGGGTAGAATTTCAGATGAGGAGAACTTGCTGCTGCTGCTGCTGCTGCTTCCTCTTTTTTTTTTTTTTCCAGGCTGCAGAAACTCAGGGTTCAAACCATTAAATGATGAGAAAGCTAGAAGGTTGGTTTTCTCTTCTCATTATTAACTTATCACGGAGAAGATGTCTACAGAGGATAGAGGAGTAGGAACATGCCTTTTCTTTTTTCTCTGTTCATGGCAGGGCTTCTAAAAGGAGCCTGACTATAGCTCTCAGTTCAGACAAGAATATTATAACCATCACTAATGGTCTTCAGTGTTTTAAGTAGAAAGTTTATGGACTTAAAAAATTTTGTACCTGCAAAAGATCCATATTGCCCATAGCCCTTTTCTAAATCTTTTATTTTATAGATTGAGTGACTAAAGATTAAGGACAAGGTTGGCCTTTAGGCATATGTGGACCCATGGATATATAATCTGAGTAAGTCAGGAAGTTCTCTCTCTGACTTCTTTTCATTTTCTTAGTGTAGATGCCTTCCTTGTCCTTTAGGTGGCATATTGGTTTTTCTGGAATCCGTTGCGAAACTGTTCTTATCTACTTAAAGGGAACTCATTTGAAGTCTGAGTCTTGAGGGAATAGACAGAACAGGCATGTTGGAAGGAAAGTATGAGTCTCAGGTGAGTCTCAGGTGGGAGGGACAACTGTGTATTATAATTTTACTTGGAGTTTTCCCTGGTTTGATGATCTTTTATTGAGCCTGTAATTTTAGTCCTTATTTATATAAGCCCATTGACTGCACATTATGAGACATTTGTCTGGAATTCCTCTTTTCATGATAGCAGAACAAGTTAAATTTTGTTGGACATGTATATTTTTATATTAAGAAGATATTAGCTTGTTACTTTAAAAAAGCATTTAGTGCAAAAATGGTCAATTGTAGGTAAGCCTTGTATGCAAAATTATTTGCAGTTAAAAATATTGCAACATTACACAGTTCATTTTTCCTTCTTTTGCGGAGATGGCTGTTCTGTGATTACCCTGGGATGATGTTCAGGTAATGCTGTGTAGTTTTTTCTCTCCTAGGAAGTGGAAGGCAGGAACTTAGAAAGTGAGATATAACTAAGAAGGGTCTGTTAATGAGGAAGACAACGTATTTTCCCATGCTAGCCTTTGTCAGAGCTCTCCCAGGTTCAACGATTGGATAGAAGGATTCATGGGGTTCAGCAGGTAGTCACATTCATGGCTAAGATATGGTAGACTGAAAAGGTAGAAAGCAAAATCAACAAGGGAAATCAGATACAAACTCCCCAGAATATTCTCCTTGTGGAGTCACATAGGATGCACTTAATTTTCTGAATAACAAGGTATGGAAACTTGTGTGAAGTGTTGTCTATCAGGGAAGCTTGTCTGAGCTTAAGAGTTTAGGGTTTTTATCAGGGGTTAGTCATGAGCACAGACTGTCAGTGTGACTGATAGCAGTCACTGAAATTCCAGATACCTAGAAGGAAAACAGATGTTTTAGGAGAAGTGAGCTACTTTTCTCATTTAGAAAAAATTTATATTAGTGTAGGCAATGATTTTACCAGCCAAGTTCCCAGACACCAGCCAAGGGCCAGGCTTGTATGCAGGCATTCCTAAGGAGACTCGTCTTGGACCTGGTAGGTGAAGTCATGAACTTTTGTCTGCACACATGTGTAATGTGTATACATTCCTGACTTACATGATCTCAGTTATGGAAATGGTTCAGCTGCACCCAGTAGATAAGTAGTTCTTTGGAGTATGGAGGCCAAGGTCTACTAATGAAACTGTGCCCCAAAGAGTTAACCAGTGGCAAAGAGAAATTCTTGAATTTATAGGATTGGTTGATAAAAATAAAAAACAAAAACAACTTTCTGAAACACTGAAATTCTCTCTGCTTTTAAGATAACAAAACTGGCTGAAATCAGTTGGAACCAATACAGCAAACTAGAGTCTACACAGAATGAGCTTGCTGACGCCACAGCCCAAATTTCCACTGCATGTTTCATACTAACTCCCCCTGAATTTACATATGTGACCCATGAGATAGCATGAAGAGATACTGCAAATGCCCAAAGCCTTTTCAGACCCCCCTTTCCTTCTACCAATCTCCTACTATCCCCAAATTCACTCCCTACACATTTTCTAATAAAAATACTGCCTTAAAAACAGTACAGGAAGACAGATTTGAGCTAGACTCCTGTCTCCTTGTTGGTTGACCTAGAAAAAAGTCTTTCTTTTCTCAAAAACCCAGTGCCATAGTATTGGCTTCTAACACATTGAACAGTGAACTCTTTTGCTTGGTAACAGTGATTGGAGGTACAGGAATTGTGTCTTCTGAAATAAAGCACCCTCTTATAATTACTGATACACTTCCACAAGAGAGGGAGAGGAACGTAGGAAGGAGGGAAGAAAAGAAGTGTAAACAGACAAATGGACAAACAGATGGACCTGAGGTTCAGGAGGTTGGAGGGAATATGCCAAAGCAATTTATATCATGAATGAAACAAACAGTAGAAGGTTGTTTGCCTTGCACCCTAATAGCAGAGGCATCCAGATAACAGAGTCATTTCAGAAAGATGTCTTAAGTCATTCATTACTTTTACTTGAACCATTCTAATAATTGATAAAGTATTTACTCAGAATGTAGCTCATGGCAACTGTATCATCATCAGTCCCTGGGTTTCAAGGGTGAAGCATTGTTGATATAGGGTCTCAGTGCCTTTGGAACCTTGAGTCTTCCATTATTCCAATGAATGCTCACAGTAATCCTTAATGAGCTTGCTGCTCATGTCTATGATGGGTGGGTAGCAACTATTTTTTAATGTTTAAACTTGCATTAATAACTTGATATTATCTTTATCCTAGAGTTTCTGTATTTTATTTTAATTGAAGTACATTATCTTTTTGTGGCTTTTTAAAAGTCAACTTTATTGAGGTGTAATTATGTATAAAGCTTTTAACCTTGCAAGTAAAGATGGTTTTCCTTCTTCCTTCCCAATATGAATCCTTTTATTTTATTTTTCTTGTTTTGCCTGATTGCACTGGGCAGAACTGTCAGTGGCTCTGGAGGTAGCACTTTAGCACTTCACTTCTCCCTGCTTCCCTCTGAGCCCCCAGCCCTATACTCACACACTACAGGGAATGATTGATTAAGAAACCACGGAATGACATTTCTTAATGGTTATGTTTATAATCAGAAAAAGCAATACCACCATTCCTTATAGAAAACTAAGAGCCATTATTAAAAGGCATAAAACATGCCAAATAATTACTAGTAGTCTAAGAAGCTTGTACTGAGAATTTAGTCACAGGAAATACAGATTTCAGAGGAAGGAACTCATATCCCTGGGGTGCCTACAGGTAGGGCAAGAGTAAGTCACTATTGAACATTTGAGACTTCTTTCATTCCCTTCTCTTCAGGCTAGTATAGGTCTCAGGGAGTAGTGTATGATAGAACTTTCACAAGAATTAGAAGTAGCCCTGGTGCTAAGAATTGCCAGAGGCCCAAGGTGCTGAGCATGTCATTTTACATTGTCTATTTTGGCATCTTGCACCCAACCCAAAGTCCACTGTGAAGAAATAGTCTTTGTTAGCACCTGCTTCAGTTTTGAGAGAGTTTGAGATAGACTGAAAATAGTGTCCCAGCTGAGAATTTGAGAATATGTACAGTATTCAGTGACTCTCCAATTATGTCACCCTGCCACCTGAGGAAAGGTGTTTTGCTTTTGTTTCCTGAGCAAACCAAACACTTGTAGTTTTTCTTTTATTTATGATTAGATGGGATCACTTTGTTTCATATTGGAGCTTTTGTTCCTCTTTCCTCAGTGCTCTATCACAGAATAAGTAATACTTTTTTAAGGATTTCTCTTTTATCAGGGCTAATTCTCTATTTTCTATACTATTGCACCTTCCCCAGGAGTTGGAGGGAAACCTTTATCTTACGAACCTGACCACTGGTCCCTCAATATCTTTCACAATCTTTCCCTGAGGGACTGAGTGCCTATCACTCAAGTGGTACCTCTGTGACTTCTCAGAGTTCTTGATGTGGACATGCAGATTAGTTACCTGGTGATACATACACATTCTTTATGGAATTAACTAATTAGTCCCTCAAACATTTCTTGCCATGTCTCCATTGTGTTAGTCTAGTGGCTGGAGATTGAAAAGTGAAAATGTTACAGTTTCTGTCCTCAAGATGCTTATGGTCCAACCCGAGGAGATGAGTCCAGAAATCATTATAAAACATGGAGCTTATAGGGGAAGCACTTGCAGGGGCTTACTTAGCCAAGCTTGAGGGGAGGTGGGAAATATGGTAAAAGCTTGCACTATATTTTCTGAAAGGTTTTCTTCTGCAAATGAAGATTTTGTTTTTATCATATAGTTTACTTTTCTAGGCTACCTAAAATTTCAGTACACATGTGTTGATGTTGACTTGTATGATCTTATTACTGGTTTACTACAGTAGCTGCAACTCAAAATTGAATTAAATGTTAATGATTTTAATATTGCTTTGTTTTGTCTATTTTAAGATATACTAGAAAACATGCCAGGAAAGGGAAATTTATCCAGTTTAATTCTTGTGCTTCTGTAGGGTTATCTGTGACTCACTGCACTGTTGTTTATTAAAATACTAGGATTAGGCATGCATTTCTGATCAAAGCTGTTCTGATGGAAGGTTTGAACAACTGACTATTGGTATGGTTTGATATGAATTTTAGTCTATTCATCTGTGCACTGGAGAGGTCTTAATAATATGTGTGTGTATTTATATAAAGAGGATAAGTCATTGGGGTAAAGGACCATTCACATATTTATTTGTGGAATGCAAGGTATAGCATGTTTAAACCCTAGTATTTGAATTAGTAAGAGTGTCTCCAGTTATCAAGGAGTGTCTTGAAATTACTTGATAAAATTCGAAACGAAATTTATTTTGTCTTTAATTAAAATTGTACTATTTTGTATCTTTTCAATAACATAGTTGGTAGGCAGAAGCTTAGGTGTCATTCTTAGAGGTTCTTAGTTAATTCTGAGGTCCTTAAGATCTCATGTCTGCTTCCAGGGAAGGCTCCTTACTGAAATCTGTTACCTCACTGCCAGTCACAAGAACACTGCCATCCTTTTGTTTTTGTTTTTAATTGAGACAGAGTCTTGCTCTGTTGCATAGGCTGGAGTACAGTGGCACAATCATAGCTTATTGCAGCCTCCATCTTGCGGGCTCAAGTGATCCTCCTGCCTTAGCCGCCCAAGTAGCTGGGACTACAGGTGAGTGCCACCACACCTGGCTATCTTTTTCTTTTTTTTAATTTTTGGTAGAGATGAGGTCTCACTGGGTTGCTCAGGCTGGCCTCGAACTCTTGAGCTCAAGTGATCTTCCCACCTCGGCCTCCCAAAGTGCTGGGATTACGGGTGTGAGCCACTGTGCCTAGCCCTCCTCCTATTTAAAAAAGATATTCTTCCCCTTGTCAAAGCAGAGTTTTTTAAAAATTATAAATGTGACTCACAAATTTGAAATGAAACCAGGTTAAACATTTTACTCAATGTATTAATTAGTGAAGAAACCAGGAAGATGGCAAAGGTAGTTCAAAGAACAGTTTGAGGATCTAGGTTTTTCACTGGCGTTTTGAACCAATGTTAGAGTAAGAATGCTAGATTAGATTAAGAAAACCTGGTTAATGCCAGACAGAAATAAATTATAATCTTTAGTGTTACCTTATCAGACAGAAATTATTTGTATCACTGCTGGACAAAAATCTATAGGTTACGTTGTAATTGCATTAAGTCTAGGACTTTTAATCAGTAGTAAACAATGAACTGAATAAAGTACAATTTCCCCACATAAGTAATCTTTGGGATGGCCTGTCATTATTTTATGACATTGAAGTGACATTCCACTTATCTTTTGCCTTACTTTCACATTTTAATTTAATTTAATTTTATTTTTTCTGCCACAGGGTCTGGCTCTGTTGCCC
Organism: Homo sapiens; assembly: GCF_000001405.40. Lineage (NCBI taxonomy): Eukaryota > Metazoa > Chordata > Mammalia > Primates > Hominidae > Homo > Homo sapiens. The sequence continues at coordinate 48,120,394 of NC_000010.11, read as the reverse complement.
AGGCTAGACTGCAGTGGCATGATCTTGGCTCACTGTATCCTCCTCCCAGGCTCAAGCCATTCTCCTACCTCAGCTTTTCAAGTAGCTGGGACCACAGGTGTGTGCCACCACACCCGTCTAATTTTTGTAGAGACAGGGTTTCACCCAATTGCCCCAGCTGGTCTCAAACTCCTGAGCTCAAGCGATCCTCCTGCCTTGGCCTCCCAAAGTGCTAGGATTGTAGGCATGAGCCACTACACCTAGTCTTAAATAATTTTTTAACACCTATATCTCAAAGTTTTTAAAATAAATCTGTTTCACACATTAACTTTAGATTCAGATTATAGTAATACCATTTTATTTGCAGGTAGTTAATGGAAAGGTCTCCAGATAAAAGTATTCTTGGTTTTAACCAATGGGAGCAATGTAACATGGCCTTACAGGCCCTTTATGGCAAGAATTAGAAAAGAAAAAAGATTTATTCTGTGTGAGAACTTTTTATAGATTGAATGAACAAGAACTCCTTGAAGACGGTCTCTGTAATTAATTCTTATTTATTCAGTACTGAATTCTCAGCACCTAATTTAGCTTAGGTGTGGCATTTAAATAACTGAGTTTCCATTGAGTGACATTGATTGAATTTGTGTGTGTGTGTGTGTGTGTGTGTGTGTGTGTGTTTATATAAAGAGATACATCATTGGAGTGGAGGGGCCATTCACATATTTATTTGTGGAATGCAAGGTATAGCATATTTAAGCTCTGGTATTTGAATAAATAAGCGTATCTCCAGTTCTCATGGAATATCCTGAAATTATTTGATAAAATTTCAAATGAAATTTATTTTGTCTTTAATTAAAATTGCAGTTTTAAATATTTTGAATTGATAAGTAATAATATGTCAAAGCTGTGATAGCTCCAGTTGTGTAATAGAAAAATCTTTGGCTTTGTGTGTTTTACCAGGTGAACAAAAATTGTTTGCTGGCCCCCAGGATACTAACTAGACCTTTGGCCTGACTCACAGGACACTAAGGCTCCTTTTCTGAAGAAGCCTTTTACCAGTCTCATTTAGGGGATGGGAACAACATGTCTTCACCTAGGGACTTTAGAGCAGAGTCTGGTAGGTGCATCATCTACTTTTGTGGGTATGGGATCAGGAGGAGCTACAGGAGTGCCTCTCAGACTGTAGATTTGCATAGGGACCACCTGTGGATTATTATCCTGCATATTCTGATCCTCTGGGTCTTGGTGGGGTGCGGTGGGGGGCAAGACTCTGCATTTCTAATAAGCCATCACGCTTAGAGTAACAACAATTAAACTCTAGTGTTTTACTTTACCCTTTTCAAATGGCATTTTTTTTTCCTGATTATAAATGTAATATAGGTTTATTGTGAAGAATTTGGGAAGTACAAAAAAGCACCAAAACACAAAGAAAACAACAAGACAATAAAAACAACCTGTAATCTGCCACAAAGCTGTTTGTTTCCATAATTTTGTTAGCTGTGAACTCAGGGCATATACATTTCTAAGGTTTTTGATACATCTACTAATGCAGTGTTTTAGTTAAATGTCAGCTGTCTCCCAGCCGACCCATATTGCCATTGTCTTGCTTAAAACATTAGTAGCTTGCCATCATTTTTCAGTATGTCTTTTATGCCTTTTCTCATTCCTTCCACCTTCAGCCCAGCTTCTATTCCCTCTTCTATCCGCCCTCCTTGTCATTATTATTGCTCTCTCCCTAGAAGTGTTTTTCCAATCCTTATCGGGTATAATTGACAAAAATTGTGTATACATAAGGTGTGCAACTTGATGTTTTGATTTGTCTATATACTGTGAAATGATTACCACAATTAAGCTAACATATCCACCACCTCACAGTTACCATTTTCTTTCTTTGTGTGTATGTGTGTATTACAAACATAAGATCTACCCTCTTAGCAAATATCATTATAATACAGTATTGTATGTATTTTGCTATACATCAGATCTTCAGAACGTATTCATCTTGTGTAACTGTTACTTGATACCATCTGACCAACAACTCCCCATTTCCTCCTTCCTCTATCCCCTGGAAACCACCATTCTGCTATCTGCTTTTGTGAGCCTGGATTCCACCTGTAAGTCAGATTATGTGTAAGATGAGGGATAGGAGTCTAAGTTTATTCTGCATAGGAATATCCAGTTTTTTCCAGGACCATTTATAGAAGAGACTTTCTTGTCCCCAATATATGTTCTTTGTGCCTTGTCATAAAAGAGTTGGCTATAAACATATGGAATTATTTCTGGGTTCTCTATTCTATTCCACTGGTATATGTGTCTGTTTTTATACCAGTATCATGATTTTGTGGTTACTATAGATTTGTAGTGTATTTTGAAGTCAGGTAGTGTAATACCCCAAGCTTTGTTCTTGTTTTTTTGTTGTTGTTGTTTGTTTGTTTTTATTTTGTTTTTGTTTTTCTTGGCTCAGAATTGCTTTGGCTATTTGGAGTATTTTTTGTACTTCCATATGAATTTTATGATTTTAAAATTTCTCTGAAGAATGTCATTGGTATTTTGATAGGAATTGCATTGAGCTCTCAGATTCTTTGGTTATATTGTCATTTTAAAAATATTTATTCTTTTATTCCATGAACATGAGATGTCTTTCCATTGGTTTGTGTCTTCCTCAATTTATTTCATCAATTTTTTATAGTTCTTATTCTAGAGATCTTTAATCTCTGGTTAAATTTATTCCTAGGTATTATTTTTTGTAGTTATTGTAAATGAGATTGCTTACTTGATTTCTTTTTCAGGTAGTTTGTTATTGTTTTATAGAAATGCTACTGATTTTTGCATGTTGATTTTGTATCCTGCAACTTTACTTAATTTGTTTATCAGTTCTAAGAGTTTTTTGGTGGATTCTTCAGGTTTTTGCATTTGTAAGAGCATGTCATCTCTAAACAGGGACAAATTTGACTTCCTCCTTTTCAATTTGGCTACCTTTTATTTGTTTCTGTTGCCTAATTGTTCCTTCTTTTCAATTTGGATGCCTTTTGTTTGTTTCTCTTGCCTAATTGCTCTGGCAAGGACTTCCTGTATGGTATAGTTTGGATGTTTATCTCTTCTAATCATGTTGAAAGGTAATCCCCAACCTGGTGGGAGATGTTGGATCATAGGGGCAGATCCTTCGTGAATGGCTTGGTGTTATCCCCCTGGTGATGAGTGAGTGCTCTCTCAGTTCATGTGAGATCTGATTGTTCAAAGGAGTCTGGAACCTCCCCTTCTCTCTTGCTTTGTCTCTCACCATGTGATTTGCTGGCTCCTCATTCACTTTTTGCCATGACTATAAGCCTCCTGAGGTTAGATACTAGAAGCAGATACCAGCACCATGCTTCCTGTACAGCCTGCAGAACCACGAGCCAGAACAAACCTCTTTTCTTTATAAATTACCCAGCCTTAGACATTCCTACGTAGTGATGCTAACAGACTAACACACAGTATTATGGGTTTTTTAAAAAAAAATTTAAAAATAACATCTGCCTGATTCCCTCACTGATTAATGAATATAATAAAGTAACATGTGCATTTATATGTCTGTATGAGAGCTGTGATTTTCTTTTTCTGGAAACTATCCTTTAACAGTTGCAAACTTTTATGAAAAAGCTAATTTTAATGATAAATCAGTTATGCTAGAATATGCAAAAACATGGAAAGCTACCCAAACTTTTTTGTAGACTAGTTCTTTCCAACTTTTATTTTAGGCTTGGGGGTACATAGGAAGGTTTGTTACATGGGCAAATTGCTTGTTGCTGTGGTTTGGTGAACAAATGATCTCATCACCCAGGTAGTGATTCACTTAAGATAATGGCCTCCAGCTACATCCATGTTGCAGCAAAGGACATGATTTCATTCTGTTTTTTGTTTTTTTTTTTTATTGTTGTTGTTGTTGTTTTTGTTTGAGACAGAGTCTCGCTCTGTCAGCCAGGTGGAGTGCAGTGGCACGATCTCGGCTCACTGCAACCTCCATCTCCCAGGCTCAAGCAATTCTTCTGCCTCAGCCTCCCGAGTAGCTGGGATTACAGGCGTGTGCCACCATGCCCGGCTAATTTTTGTATTTTTAGTAGAGACAGGGTTTCATCATGTTGGCCAGGCTGGTCTCAAACTCCTGACCTCAGGTAATTCATCCGCCTTGGCCTCCCAAACTGCTGGGATTACAGGCATGAGCCGCCGCACCCAGCCATGATTTCATTCTTTTTATGGTTGTGTAATAGTCCATGGTGTTTTTGCACCACATTTTCTTTATCCATTCCACTGTTGACAGGCATGTAGGTTGATTCCATGTCTTTGCTATTGTGAAAAGTTCTGTGATGAACATACATGTGCATATGTCTTTATGATGGAACAATTTATATCCCTTCATATAGCCAGTAATGTGATTGCTGAATCAAATGGTAGTTCTGTTTTATGTTCATTGAGAAATCTCCAAACCACATTCCACAGTGGTTGAACTTAAATTCCCATCAGCAGTGTATAAGTGTTCCCTTTTCTCTGTAACCTCACAAACATTTTTTTTTTAATTTTTACTTTTTAATAATAGCCTTTCTGGCTTGTGTAAGATGGTATCTCATTGTGGTTTTCATTTGCATTTCTCTGATGATTAGTGATATTGAGCATTTTTTCATATCCTTCTTGGCTATGTGTATGTCTCCTTTTGAAAAGTGTCTGTTCATGTCCTTTGCCCATTTTTTAACGGGGTTGTTTGATTCTTGCTTGTTCGTTTATAAGTTCATTATAAGTTCTGGATATTAGACCATGTGTTCTGCCAGGTTTTGGTATCAGAACGATGCTGGCCTTATGGAATGAGATAGGGAGGAGTCCCTCTTCCTAATTATTTGAAATAGTTTCAGTAGGATTGGTACCACCTCTTGTTTATACATCTGGTAGAATTTGACTGTGAATCCTTCTGGCCCGGGCTCTTTCTGATTGGTAGGTTTTTTTAAATTACTGATTTAGTTCCTGATTTAGTATCTATTCCATAGCCTAGAAATCAATGAGTAATTTTGAGTTTCCTGTCTCATTATTTAAGAAACATTTTGTAAGGCTGTAGCTGCCATAGATAGTGATTCTTCTGATGGCTGTGGGCAAAGTAAATTGAAAACCTTTTGGAAATAACTCCCCATTCTAGACGCCATTAAGAACATTTGTGGTTTATGGGAGGAGGTCAAAATGTCAACATTAATGGGAGTTTGGGAAAAACTGATTTTAACCCTCATGGATGACTTTGAGGGATTTAAGACTTCAGTGCAGGAAGTACTATCCTAAGTTTTCGGCATCCACTGGGGGTCTTGGAACTAGGCATTCCCTGTGGGTAAGCGGGAACTGCTTTACCATTTCACATATAGTTGTAGGAACATAAGATACTTCCATTTCCTCCCATTTGCCTTTCATGCTATTATTGATACCAATTTTATTGTGAGTGTTGTATACCCTACAATAGATTATTATTTTTCCTTATAATTGAGTTATCTTTTAAAGAAATTAGAACATGTGAAAGAGTATGTTTTATGTGCTCATGTATTTTCCAGTTTTGCCACTCTTCATTCCTTTGGATAGGTCTACATTTTCATATTTTATCCTTTTCCTTGTGCCTGAAAAACTTCCTTTAACTTTTGTTGTTGTTGTTTAGTGCAGGCTGGATATAATCTTAGTTTTTATTGGTCTACAGAAGTCTTATTTTTTGAAATATATATTTTCAGGGTATAGAATTCTATATTGACATTCTATAAGAATTCTATGTTCTTTCAATACTTTAAAATGTCTCACCATTATCTTCTAGCATGCATGATTTCTGATGAGAAATCCATCATTCTTATCTTTGTTTTTCTATATTTAATGTGTCTGTTTTCTCTGGCATTTTTTCTTTTCAGTAATTTGAATATGACATACATGAATGTGATTTTTCTATAAGCTCATATATTACACTTGTATTTTATTGACCTTCTTTGGTCTGTTGGTTTATAGTTTTCATCTAGTTAGGTAACATTTCAGCTATTATTTCTTCATATTTGTTTTGGCATTCCAGTTACAGGAATTTTAGTTCACTTGATGTTGTCCCAGTTTGCTGAGTCTGTTCAGTCTCTTTTTTTCGCTACTGTGCGCTTCATTTTGGATATACTCTTGCTGTATGTTGACAGACACTGATTTTTTTTCCTTCTGCCTTATCTGCTGTTAATTTATTTTAGTTCATACATTGTCTCTAGAAATTTCAGTAGGTCTTATTTTTACATGATTTATATCTCTTTTTATTGTATCATGTTTTTCTTTATTTCCTTGAGCACCTTTTAAAAACTTATAATAGTTAAAAGTTCTTTTTTCTGAATTTTATCATCTGTCATTTCTAAGTACATTTCTATTGATTGATTGATTTGGCTGTGGGTTATACTTTTCTATTCCTTGGCATACCTGTTAATTGTTTACTACACATTGTGAATTATATGATTTTGGTGCTGGATTTTTTCTTTTTCTTTTCTTTTTTTCTTCTTTTTTCTTTTTCTTTTCTTTTTTTTTTTTTTCTTAGAGTCTCACTCTGTCTCATAGGCTGGAGTGCAGTGGTGCAATCTTGGCTCACTGCAACCTTCTGCCTCCTGGGTTCAAGTGATTCTCCTGCCTCAGCCTCCTGAGTAGCTGGGATTGCAGGTGCGTGCCACCATGCCAAGCTAATTTTTGTATTTTTAGTAGAGATGGGGTTTCACCATGTTTGTCAGGCTGATCTCGAACTCCTGACCTCGTGATCCACCCTCTTCAGCCTCCCAAAGTGCTGGGATTACAGGCGTGAGCCACCACACCCGGCCTTGATTTTTCTTTAAAGAATGTTGGGTTTTTCTGCCTTGTAGTTATGTTACTTGAAGTTTAACCTGATCCTGTCTGAGGCTTGCTCTTCACCTTTTTTATAGGTGGCCCTAAGGAGCTTCTGTTCCAAGGATAGTTTTAGTACTAAGAGGTATCTCTTCTGTGCACTATCCTCAACGCCCCCTGTATTACAGGGTCTCCTCATTCTGGCTCATATGAACTGTTCCTAGGAATTGTGTGGCTTGCTACTTTCCGGTGGTCCTTCCTGAGTGTCAGAGATTGTCCTCCTTCATATAAGCATATCCATATTCTGCAAAGGACATGAGAGGGTTTCTTTGCAGCTACTTAGACTTCTCTTGTTCTGTATAGCTCCCTCCTCCCTGGTACTCTGCCCTACAAATTCTGGCTGCCTCAGCCTCTCCTAACTTTGATCTTTTTCTTCTCAACTCATTGAATCACTGGACTCGTTGATTCCTTTCCTGAGCTATAGCCTGCAAACTTCTGGAGGCCATAATCTGGAGCAACCAGAAGGCTCACCCCCTTCTCTCTGGGATCACAGTCTGTTGTTTAAGGTCTGAAAATTATTGTTTTATATATTTTGTCCTATTTTCTGGTTGGTTGTGGTTAAGTCCTATTACAGTAAATCTCTCATAAGCATAAATGAAAGTCAATTGTAGGTTGTTTTACTTTTCATTTTTTGTTTGTCAGGTGAGGCTGGACTTTTTCTGAATATATTATTGGCCTGTAAGTCGCCTTCTGTGAGTTGCTTGTTTACAATTCTCATAGACTTTTTTTTTCCTGTTAATTTTTTTTCTAGCACTTGAAGCTCCTTCCTAGGTTTGCGGAATTTCCTATTTTCAGAACCGTTTGCATGAGAGATTTTTTTCATTGAAAGTCTGATAAAATCCCATCTGGAAACCTGTTTGGGCCCAGATGCTTTTTCCTCTTGGGAGTGATATTTTTGATTATTGGTTTGACTTTTTAAATGGTTATTACACTATTTAGGCTTTCTACATCTTCTGGAGTAAATTTGCATAACTTATAATTCTCTTATAAAAGTTTCCATTTCATCAGATTTCCCTAAAGTTTCTCATAATATTTGCTTATTACCTTTAAAAATGAGAGTTGCATCTGTAGCTGTGCCCTTTCTCATTTTTACACTTGATCTTAGCCAAAAGGCCGAGAAGCGATCCTTTTTCATTTTTAATGTTATTTGTGCACTTACTCTCCATTGATTTGTAGTGAAAGAGGGTTGCGTATTTTTAAGTTTTTTTTTTCAAAGAACTAGTTTATTGGATTTTGCTGATTATTCTTTAGGCTTATTTTCTGTTATTATATTTTTCTTTATGATTTTCTCCTTTGTAGTTTCTCTGGGTTTCCTCAGTTTTTCTTTGGCTTCTATGATTGAATACAAAACTCATTTATATCAGCTTTTTTTTTTCTGCCTTTTTTGTAAACACATTTAAACCTATACATTTTCCCTCTATCTAAATACTCATTTAGCTACTTCACATTAGTTTTGATATGTTGTCCCTTCATTGATATTTCTTAATGTTTTAATTTATAAAATTAATTCATGTGTTATAAAGGTTCATAATTTCTATTAGATTTCCTTTTTAACACACATTCAGGAACACACTTTTTCATTTCCATAGTACTTGTTTACTATATTTTTATTGATTTTGTAATATGCCATGCCACAGAATTTCTAAATCATAATATTTAAGGCTCCCATGGTATGAGAAACAGTACTCTGAGTGCTCAGTACTGAGATCAGAGAAAATTTTCTCTCGGCTTCTTATCTGAAAGAGTCTGTGCAGTAAAATTAACACAGTAATTAGGAATAATCATATAAGAAACCCAGAGTTTCCTTGGGATGATTCATATTACATTATTCAACAAAGCCGAAAACAATTTTCTGTATAATTTAACATATTACTAACTTATGAATTATAAATAATACAAGAAGTTACAGTGCGACATTTGTAACACAGTATTCTTTATTCAAGAAATAGACTCTGAAACACAGAAGACTGTATTCTGTAGATCCCAATGCATAGGTTCTGCAGGTTGTAAATATCTAGGATTTACTTGAAGAGTACTTTCTTGAATAATATGGCAATGAGGAACAAGGGAACCGCTCAAAAGTCAACTCCCTGAGGATAATCCTAGAAGAAGGATCAGCTTTGCTATGTTGATTTTTTCAAAGCAGGGGAGAAAGAGATGATTACCATAGGAGATAAAGATGGGGTGTTTGGAAAACAGGAAAAGTAGATGAAAATTCCCCTCATGTAGCTTGTTTTTTCTCATTAAGGCTCCATTTTTCCTTCTGTATAGTGTTTTCTATTTGATCAGTTTTTCCCCCCGCCTTTGTTCAGTAAACGATTATGAGGGAAATGACTCTGAAGCAGAAGACCTGAATTTCAGGGAGGCTTTGCCTTCATCAAGTCAGGAAAACACACCTAGATCAAAGGTAAGACTAAAAGGAGAGGGATCTCTACTAATTTTGGCTAATACCTAAATTGCTGACTATGCTCTCTGGGAAATGGGTATCTATTTGGTTCTCACCAAAATGATTTCTTAATTTTTTGTCACTGTAGTGTTGACAGTGACCAAAATGGGGATTTGAAAGAGTGGAACTTTTTGCAAAGTTTCTAATGAATTGCATTTTCTAATGCTACTCTGGAAATTTTACAGGCACTAGTTTTGTGTTACTAATGAAGATACAAAATAAATGTCACATGAAGTAAGAAGCACCTTTAGATGTATTGATTGTGGACTTTTTCATTGTTTGAGACAGCATGATTGGGTGTCTCCGAACTATGGAAAAGTAGAGGGCTGTGAAAAGTCTGTGACAAAACCTCTTACTTCAACACATTACCCCATTTGTGGAGATAGTGCTAGGATTAGAGCACAAAAAAAGGGAAATGCATTTTAGTCTGGTGGGTGCTTTGCATTTTTTTTTCTCTTACCTAGTCAACTGGAGCTTTGGAACTGCGATGATGATGCTGGCCTTGTGTTCATTTCCTGTAAGTTACAGGAGTAATAGAGATAAAGTCAGTACATAGACCAAAAACTGCTCCTACCACTTCCCCTGTTCAATTGCCACCTCCACCCCAGGTGGGCAGGAGTGCAGCTTTTAAGAACAGTGTTGTAACTTGATTATTATCTCCTGTCCATTCTCTGCTATACTTAAGTTGGCCACATCAAGGCTACCATCACATCTTTGGCTGGGAATCTCTGGCTGTTAGTGCCGTGTTGGGCTCTCCGCTCACTCTTGATTCTTTTCTCTGATCAGAATGGTTTTCTCTTTGAAGCAGAGACGATTTGAAAGGGAGCACCTTCACAGAATGGCCCAAGTATATCCTTTATATAGTCTTATAGTCTTATTTGACTTCTTCTAGAACTGAGCACATTTTGTGATTTTGTTTATATTTTTACTTTGGGTTTTTTTTGCTTGTTTGTTTGTTTGTTTGTTTTTTTGCTAAGTTATAGCTTGGCCTATCTAGGGTGAATTCTGATATGCTTTAAAGTTTCCTTTCATAAAAAAGGATCTTAGAACATTCCTGGATGGTTTTTATAGTGTTGGGAAAATTACCTGATTTTATTAGAACTTGCTTTTCTTATGTTTCATGAAACAATTTGATACTGTAGCCATTTTTATGTCCTTTCAGATATGATGCTGTCCCCTAGAAATTGTCTAGACTCATAGACTTGAAGTTGGTTAGATTTGGAGCATAAAGAAATTTTTTTTTTGAGACAGGCTAATTTATTTTTTGGATTTTTGGTAGAGACAGGGTTTCACCACGTTGGCCAGGCTGGTCTTGAGCTCCTGGCCTCAGGTGATCCACCCGTCTTGGCCTCCCAAAGTGCTGGGATTATAGGCATAAGCCACTACACCTGGCCTGTTAAAGACATTTTTATGCCAGCACTCATTTTAGAGGTGAAAGCTGAAGCGATTTGTCTATGATCATATAACTCTTGAGTCACAGACTAGAAACCAGGCTCCTATCTGTGTTACTGTTTTCACTTTGTCCTCATAAATCCTTGCTGCATGGACTACAGAAAAGCTAACTTAGGCTCCTCAGAAAACATTTTCTAACATTTAAAAAATTTGATATTAATTTGATTCCGTGAGCAATCTCCAAAAGTCCTGCCATCTTGATAATTTATTATATTTCTCCTTGTTAGTTCTTGGTATTGTTAGCAAAATCACATTTCACTCAATCAGACATATGTTAGTCAGCCTTAAATTTGAATTGCAGCCATCTGGAACAGTCTGCTTCTTTAAAAAATAAATATAATCAATTTGATTTTGAACCATGAGCTGAAAGATGTCTCAGGTTTAAATTGTGTTAGGACTTCCAGATATCACTTTTTCTAAGTAAATGAATTGTACTCAAATGACTTTTAAGCATGTCTCATAAGAGGGAAGTGGGATCATGTTGTGTAATAGCATGTGTCCCACTTCTTTTCCTCCATCCCACTGGAGCCACACTTTCTACATTTCAATTTTAATTATCCTGAAATTAATTTTTAGGGATTTGCCAATCAGTGCTGATTTCAAAACTAGTTCAATTCTGTGAAGCTCATTTCATTTCGTGTATTGTAGCTACATAGTTTAATGAGAAGGAATCTTAGGTGGACATTTTCCTGTGATTTTAAAGTAAAAATTAAACATACACCAAGCAAACACTAACAAACTCATTAGTCAAAGAAGAAATCATAATGGAAGTTTAAAGTATTTAGAATGGAATGTACACAAAAATGCTAGATGTAAAAACATGTGGTTTGTGGATTGAGCAGTGTGTATCAAATAAAAGGTCTGCTCTATGACATTACATTTACAATTGTGCCACTTAAGGTGTTTAGGAGTAAATCTAAGAAAAGGTATACATTGTCTTTATTGAGAATATTTTATAATGTTTTTGCTGGATAGCTATATCATATTAGTGGATAATGATACTTAATATATAAATACATCACTTATTTCCAATTTAAATTAAAAAATTCATATTACTTAATTTCAATAATAGTCCCAAAGTTATTTCTGTGTGTGAATGAGATTTGATCAGCTGATTCAAAAGATGTTCTTGAGAAAATAGAAGGCCAAGTATGGCAAGACAGTATTAGACAAGGAAGGAAGGAAACGTGTATGTGGTGGCTGGGGCACTGGCACTGCGAGTTATCAAGACTGAAGTCCACTGCCCGGTGCAAAATTGGGCAGTGGAATGTGGAGAAATACTTAGAATTAGTAGATTAGATGGTGCAAGTACTAAAGTAAAGATAAATTTAGTGGCAGGAATTTTATATTCACAGTAAACAAAACATGGTAAACACTTATAAGAAAATCTCTTCTGGGCTGAAGTAATAAATCTATTTTTTCTCAAATGAAGCTTTTTAAAAATTTAGTTTTGAAAAATCACTTGAGCAATTCAATATAAATAACTTCTGTTTACATAGTACTCTACACTGTTTTGACAGATTGGAAGATATTTAATAGGGAGATATACAATTAAGTGATTTTCTAGGAGCAGACATTATACTATGTGATTGTGGTTATAATTCCATTATTGCAGATCTTTTTGCTCTTCTTAAGTAGCTATAGAAATCACGTTTTAAACCATATTTTTCTAAAACCAGTGCTATAATTTGTTTCCTTTCTTATGTCTGTAGGTTTTTGAAAATAAAGTTAATTCAGAGAAGGTAAAACTTTCTCTTCGGAATTTCCCACATAATGATTATGAGGATGTTTTTGAAGAGCCTTCAGAAAGGTATAACTAATATGCTTATTTAGTGGGTTTTCTGTTTATGCTACTTATATTCATAGCTAGCCCTCTGCATGGAGACAGTGAATAATGGCCCTGAAATGTTTAATTTTTCAAGATATAGCTTTTTATAAACTTGATTTAGCTTTCTTAGAAATATGTTTATGATCTCAAAAATATGGTAATTAACATAAGGGAAAAGTATTCTTGAAGGATTCGATTTCTCTATCCTCTCAATAGTTACATGGCGTCAAAGCTTTTGCAAATATGCTTGGAGCTTTTGAAGTGGTCAGTGTACTTGAGGTAGCATGAAGCTCACGGTACAGCACTAAATGTTATTAGAAATGTAATCTGTTTTCAGAAAGAAAATTATATGGTATAAACAACAGGTTTATTAGTATGGTGAATTTCTGGTAGTATATATTTAAAAAATTTAAAGTACCTGAAGAACAGTAAATTTCCATTAGGAAAACAAAGAAACAAGTTTTCATGCTTATAAAATGTTCAAATTTAGGTGTTATAAGCAAAAACATCAAATGAGGAAACATTTTGTTAAGCCATATTTTCTTAGAGATTTATCAGTAATATTAGCTACCCTCACTGGAATAGCACTGTATAAGAATGTGTATATTCTTTATATTATGTGTTTTTGTATGCGTATTGTATGAAATTTATATGTACAATTTTCAGAAGTGCATTAAACAAATAATAGTAATTCCAAAGACATTTTGAGATTCTGTGATACACTAAGCACTGTACACAAATACAAACTACTATATATTTTTTGCCCTTTAGTTCACAGTTTAATTAGGGAAACAGACATATAAAAGACAAATTGATGTACAACATAGTAAATATTATTTTAGAGTAAAAATCCAAAGATTGTGGGTACAGAAGATTGACTATGCATGAGGGAGGTTTCCCACAAGCTTCTTTGAAGAAAAGATATTTTGGTTGAATTTAGGATTTAATTAAATAGAAACCTAGCAGGTGAAAAAGAGAAGAACATTTCAGGCAAGAGGGAGAAGTTTGAGCGAGGGTAAGGAGTTGTGAAAATATCTTAGGGGTAATGGGGAGAAATATTAGGTGCCAAGAGTCGTAGGGTGTATGTGAGGTGGAATGCTAGGAAGCTGCAGAAGATGAGAGGTGGAGCCCAAAATACAGTGTGGGCTGGAGAGGGAAGTAATGCCATATATGTGAAGCTGAGTATACATTTTATTCAGTCTGTTAAAATCAAAAGGATGCATACGGAAGGTCTTTTTGTTTTATTCATGCAACTATCTATTTATCCATCCAGAAGGAGGAATGCTGGTGGCAAGGTGAGGATAGCTGGAAGTGGCAGTCAGTGGAGATTAATTAAATGTTTACAGTAATCCAAGAAAAAAATTAGAAGGAGAAAAGAGTAAGAAACCCGAATTTCCTTACAGAAGTAAAAGAAAAAGGCATTTATTTTGCTAAGGTTAAAGCATACAGTACATGTAGGAAATCAGTGGAGATGGTGATGGAAAAATAGACAGAGGCCACCTGGCCAATATCCTAAACTTATGTGTCTGATAAGGGGCCTTGATTTATCCTGATATTGGTGGGCAGGTGTAATTAAGTTTGTATTTTAGGAAGAATTTTCTCTAAACATTGAAGTTTAGATGCAGAAGTCAAATTAGGAGGATTTTGCTAGGTAGGGTTGCAAATGAAAGTGCAACAAGAGCCAAGTTAATAGCATTAGCGAGTCAGTTGAGTATGGAGACGTTGCAAAGGAAACAAAGTGGGTATGGGCTAGGATTTGAAAAATCTGTTAACAATTAGTAGCTAGACAGAGTTTAAAGCATTTCCTATTTTTAAGATACAGAAAATTGTGTATTCTTATGATATGAAAGAATTTGTAGATAGGGAGAAATTCACGATATGTTAAAAAAAAATAAGTTATAGAAAAATACCTTAGAGGAGGCAGAAGGAATCTGGTTAAGAACACGGAAGGAGGAATTTTGAACAGGCAGAAAGCAAGGAATAAGAAAGACATTGATGCATCTAAGTAAATGTTTTAAAAGATAATAAATTGAAAGAATTTCTATTTTCTGGCTTGCATTTTCTAGAAGAAGTTACATTTTTACTAAGTCAGAGAGAGTATTAAAATAAGGACTATAACAAGATGGTGGCTTGGAATTTGCTGCCATGGAAGAGTGGTACAGGAAACCAACCAGGGACATGCTGGTATTTTCCAAACGGCTCTCTGCCGATATTAGAAAGCCCAGTGACCCGAGTACTTCCCTCCCACAGTCTAGGTAAAGGAGGGGAGAAGGTAAATAAGTGGATGGATCTGAGGCGACTAGTTTGCAAGGTAAAAGTAGTAGGAGGAGATGGAGTTTGTGATCAGACATTGGGATTTGGGAATTATTTCACAAGTGGGCCAGTTTCAGGTGATGACAATGGGAGTGGGTGGCTGAATTGAAATGGAAATGAATGTCAATTAAATAATCAATGAAGATGATTAGAAAGTATTTCTCAAATGTATATATTCTTTGAAACCATGGGCAAATATATACATTTCTTTTCTAGTGGCAGTGATCCCAGCATGTGGACAGCCAGAGGCCCCTTCGGAAGAGACAGGTGGAGCAGTGAGGATGAGGAGGCTGCAGGGCCATCACAGGCTCTCTCCCCTCTACTTTCTGGTATGACATCATCCTATTTGTAGTAGCAAGTTGAGGCTCTATTTTAGAGATATGCACAAAGATATTTCTAATACAAATGAAAGAAAGAGCTAGGGAAAACTTCAAAAATGGGAAAATATGGTTTTCTAGGATTTTCTTTTAAAAATAAAAAAATGCAATTAAAAAAATGCTCCACACCCCATATTCACAATGGCTAATTCCTGTCCTTTCTTCAAGTATTTTAAAGTATTAAATATGTCAGTTTAGTAAAATCCATTTTTTTAAAGCTAGGTATTTTATAGATTTGAAAAATAACAACCTGCTTCCTTATTTCCTTTTTAAAAATTTGTTGCACAATATATGCTTTGTAAGTAAAATAATAACATTTTTGGATTACAAATTATCACATGTTTATAGTGGAAAAAAAGACAATAACAAATATATAATAAATTATAATACTGAAGAATATTTCAGAACTTTTTGTGTATACGTATTTACATGTATATATAATATAAATGTAATTAGAACTATGAATATATACTTAACATATATGTGTATGTGTGTATATATATATATATATATATATATATATATATATTTATAAAATTTGTGTTTGTAAACTTGGGGGATCACATGCACACCTCAAAAACCTTGGAGTTGGAGAGGATCTTAGAGGTCATCCATAACCAACATCCCATCAAATGTTGGAAACATCTTCTCTAATGACTTTATTTGAAAAATGTCAAACCCAGTTAAGAAAATATCACCTTATGCAATTATTAAAATGCAGATCTCCTACAAAAATAGTTTATAAGAATATGCTTTTATAAAACGAGACATAATTTTTAATTAATTAAAACATGCTTAATTAAACTGAGGCATACAGTAAAATTCACCCTTTTAGCATACAGTTCTATGAGGTTTGACCAAGGTTTACCATCACAATCAAGGTATAGTACATTTCTATCTCCCCCCACATTTCTCTTGTATTTTTTTATAGTTAACCCTTTACCCTACCACCGGTGCCTAGCAACCAGTAATCTATTTTCATTCTCTTTACTTTTGTCTTTTTCAAGGTATTGTATAAATGGAATCATAAATATGTAGCCTTTTGAGTCCAACTTCTTTCACTTAGCATAATTCTTTTGATATTCATCTGTGTCATTGCATTTATCAGTATTTAATTTCTTTTTTATTGAATAGTATTCCATTCACCAGTTGAAGGACACTGTGTTGTTTCCAGATTTTGGCAATTATGGATAAAAGTACTACAGATATTCACAAACTTTGTGTAAACATAAGTTTCCATTACTTTAAGGTAAATATCTAGGAATGGGATTGCTGGGTCATAAGTGTATAACAGACAAACTGTATTCCAAAGAAGCTGTACTAACATTATTTGTTGCTTTTTACTTTTTTTTTCTCCTACTCTTCTTACTCTTTGTATTTCAGTTAGGTAATTTCTGTCAACCTTTCTTCAAGTTTACTGATTCCTTTCTTGGTTGTGTCAAGTCTACTAATGAACCCATTGAAAGCACACAGTGTTTTTTATGTACAACATTTCCATTTGACACGTTCTTACAGATTCCGTCTCTGTTGTTAATGCGTTTTGTTTGCATTTTTCATAGAGCTTAACATGTTAATGATAGTTATTTAAAATTCCCTGGTGGATAACTCTGACAGATGGGTTGTTGCTGATATTTTTTTCTGTGATTGCTTTGCTTTTTGACACTGGCTTCTGTTGTTGCAGCTGCTGCAGCTTCATTATGTGTCTATATATCTGATTGAGTGTTGGTACTGGGTGTAGAAAAAAAGAGACTAAAGTAAATAGAATTTATGCCTAGAAATAGTCATGCCTATTCCTCTGGTAGGCCATTTAGGACATGAGCTGGGTTTTGGTTTTGTGTTGCTCTCATTACCTATGGTGAACCATTGGCTTAGAATTCCTTAGGATTTAGCTTGTGCGCAGGGTGTCAGCTGGGGTGCTAAGGAGTTTTTATTTTTGGTCTCTTCCTGTTTCGTCCTCAGCTTTAGGCCTCCGCTGTGTGCCTGTGCTTTAGAAGGGCTTTCTTTCCTTCTCCTGCCTGTCTTCCAGCAGTAGACTGGTGCTTGCGTGCCTGGGGAGGGAGGGCCAAGTCATTCTTTGTTGTCCTATTCCATTCTCAGCCTTGGGCAGGTCCTCTGTCCCTGGTCCTCAGTGACAGGCTTGGTTAGTGATACTACCCCTTCTCATGGCATCCAGACTCTGCCTGACACCTTTGGCAAGTCTACAGTGGAGAAGGTTTCCTCCCCTTCACTTAGTGTAGTGGTAGGAGTTTTGTAATAATAATGGCATTAAATCCTGGGCTTAGGACTGTTTTCTGCACCTTCTCCAGGAATAGATGGATTTTGTTTGCTCTGTTTCCAACTGCAGTGGGTATACACTTATACAAAGCAGGGATTGCTGCTCCTCCTCCTGCAGTGTAAGGCTTTTGTTCTGGGAGAAATAGGTCTAAGTGGGGCTTTACGCATTTTCGACCATGACAGTAGCTCCCCTCCTCCAAGCCTACCCTTCTGAGAGAATGGTTCTTCCCGTTTCCTGCTCTGCTCTCAGTCTTTCTTATGAGCACCTGTTGGAGGTCTGTGAACTTGAGTCTGTGAATGTGTGCAAATTCTTTTTGTGTCTGTGGCTTTACGCTGTTCTGTACTGTCACACTGGCCCACATCCAGCTGTCAGCAGTGCATTACATTTTATGTCTGAATACTTCTTTCCCATTTGTATAGTGCCTGGTATCTCTTTCTCCCTTGAACTGCCACAGGGAGCCAGTGTTCATGTCCTGTCACTCCTTAGGAGAGTCTGTCTTTCCTTAGATTTCAGACTACTTGGTTGCCCTACAACCTCAGCTCTCTAATGGGTTCAATAAAATTTTGATTTAGTGTTTTTTTTTCAACTTATGTATATTGTTAGGGTAGGAGTGATGCTCATACTAGCTTTCTATATTTAGGCAGAAGTGGAATTTTGAATATAAATATATTTTTAAAATAAAAATAAGAACACATTACTTTGCAAACAGGAAATACCATTTCTTAGCTGTTAGAGTAAGGCCAGTTCCTAGGGAAAAGTAGATAGACACTGCTTTTTTCTTTCTTAGTACCCTCCTTTTCAGTTTCAGTTTAGGACTATGGTTAGGCTCCTCCTAGGGTCTGTTACTGAGGTCTATGCTCACAAAGGATTAATGCCTAGAAAATATAAGAAACTGCATATTAGTAAGTAAAAGATAACCAAATAGAAAAATGGGCAAAACACATTAACAAACATTTCACAGAAGAGAAAATATGAAAAAGTGGTCCAACCTAATTTCGAATCAGGGAAGTGAAAATTAAATCATAGTGAAATAATAATTTACACTGACTAGATTGTTTCCATTTTTAAAAATGTGATAATAGTTGATATTGGTGAGTATGTGGCTTGATGGAAACCATTTTGGAAAATAATTTGGTATTTTTTTAGTGTGCACATGCCATATGTCCTAGCAATTTCCTTCCTGGTTATTTAGCTTAGAGAAACTCTTTCCTTTTTCTACCAGAAGACATATGCAAGAATGTCCATACTAGGCTTGTTTTTAATAGACTTCAACTGTAAAGAACTCAGATATCTGTCAACACCAGCATGTATGAATTAGATATTGTATTTTGTTTAATGTGAAGATGAATAAACCCAGATGCAGTCTTAGCAAAAAAGTCAAGATTTAAAACAAAATAATGTAATCTATATAAATTTGTGAAATATGCAAAACAGCATAAAGGGTAAACAAAACAAACAAAAGGAATGATAGTACAATTCAGAATAGTGATTATTCCCTGAGGGAGGAGGACAAGGAATGAGGTCTGGGAAGGGGACACAGGAGCATCAGGGGCTAATGTTCTGTTTTAAATTGGGTATGTATTGTTCTTAAAGATATTTTACTTAACTATTATTTTGTACCTATTTAACATTTAATAAAATATTTTAAAAGCCAAAATTTTAAAAAATTAAATTATAAAGTTAATGTATGCTAATATTTTAGTGAAAATCAATATAGAATGATATAGAGAAAAAGTTAATAATTTCCTCCCATCATCCTGAATCCTGATTCAGAGGCAACCAATATAATAGTTTATCTAAGAATACACAAAGATATAAAAACAGATTTTCTGTTTAAAGTTTAAATAAAAATTGATGTGGGCTCTGCAACTCTACAATTACCCTGCAACCATAGTTTTTAAAATTTAAACTATATTATTATATAGGTTAAGACATATTCTGACATAGGATTAATAGTTGTCTAATATTTCATTGTATGGAAATACCATAATATATTCACCCATTCTCCAGTTGACTTTTTCTGCAATATATATATTTACACGTATTTCCTAAGTACTGGTACTTTGATTTTGGTTAGATTCCCTAAAGTAAGATAGTTAAGTCAAAGTTTATGTTCGTTTTATATTTTAATGGGCAATACCACATTCCTTTCCAAAAGCTTAGCCACCATGCCCGGCTAATTTTTGTATTTTTAATAGAGTCCAGGTTTCCCCATGTTGGTCAGGCTGGTCTTGAACTCCTGACATTGTGATCCACCCGTCTTGGTCTCCCAAAGTGCTGGGATTACAGGCGTGAGCCACTGTGCCCAGCTAGGATCAAGTATCTTAATATATGTTTATTAACTTCTTCTTGGATTTGCATATTTATAAACTTTGTTCATTGTTTTTCTTATTAATTTGTAGGAACTCTTCACATGTTGGAAATCTTAACATGTTGTCTGTCTGACAAATGTGCTATAAATTGTAACCCTCAATTCTATACCTTAAGAAGGGAAACTTTCATGAACATTCTTAATTTCTAAAATGTTTAAAAAGGTCTTCTTTACAGGAAAAACATGCAAATATTCTCCTAAATTTTCTTCAGAATTTTTATTCATTTATTTTGCTTAGATCACGAATCTATCTGCAGTTTATTGCTAAATATTATAGGGGTATAGAAAACTATATTTTCTTTCATATGACTGGACAGTTATACCAGCACTATTCACTAAGTAAACCACATTTCCCAAATGAATTTATATATACTTTTATCACATATTAAGTTTCCAAAAATGTTTGATCCTTTTGTATTCTCTAAATTTTTTTTCACTAACTGACTTGTTTGTTCCTGTGGACATATTATATTATTCTGTTTTGATTCTACTTATTCTAAATATATCTGGAAAGGAAAATCCTCCCTCTAATTTTTTAAAAAATACATTTTTGTAGCTATTTGGGCAAGTTTTTGCTGCATCGGTGATTTTAAATTATTTTGTTCATTCCTGTGTAAACTTGTTTGAAATTTAGATAGAATGACATGCCAGTTATATTCATTCAGGTAGGATTGGCACTGTTGTGATTTTAAGTTCTTCCTTCCACATATAGAATGAGGGGAGTCAGGAGATCATCCATAGTGCATCTGAGCACAGAATAGCTGCTGCCCCATGTTCACCTTCCAGATCTGACATGAGAACCTCGCTTGTGCCCTGTTTTAGCTGGAAACATTCAGAGAACAGAATTCTGGGAAAAGTGGTCCAGCCTAGCCATGTCAACATATTATAAAGCTATCACAGTTCACCCTATATCAGCCTGGCACCTATATACACCCTTTTAAATGTTACTTAATATCCAAATAAGGACAACCTTATGCTTGCATCTACAGTGATAAAACTAATCTGTGTACAACTGAAAACATTCTCTCCCCTTCTCCAAAAGTGTCTCTTTTTTGTCTTGAGTGATATTCTTTCTTTTCCAACTGATTCACATTCCCTTTAATATTTTTAAAAGAAAACAAAAATATGATATATATATATGTATAAAATATGCATATCAAAAAAGAAAGAAAAATTCACAATATTTTATCCCTGTTTATGCAGCTGGTCACATGGTTGTATCTGGTTTTGATCACTGCCGTCTTACACCTGTCTGGTATTCTCTTTCAGCTCAGCAAACATCCCATTTGGTTGTGGTTCCTTGTCTGATAGGGTGACCCACACATTCATTCCTCAAGATCTAAGTCATTAGTAGTTCTGCCTAGATTGGGTGGTTCTAGTTTTCTGTTTACTTAATCACCTTGACACACCCTAGAGGATCACCTGCATTGCAGACGTATTCCTCGTTACTCCATTGGACAGCAGCAGCCCAGTTTCCCCTTAATACTTGGAATCCAGCACACTAGGCAGTGTAGTAATCCCCCTTTCCCTGATGATTCAGTAGCATATGAGGAACCCAAAATGTCCTGGTGGCGTTCTCAAATTCCACTTTAACGGATTTGTTGTTGTTTCTCCTGACGGAAGCATTCCTCACTCTGTTTAGGTCTGCATTGATTTCTTTCATCAGTGTTTGTTTGTTTTGCAGTCTTAACATATAGATTGTATATATGTTTTGTTAGATTTATATCTAATATTTCACATGTTTTGGTGCTATTGTAAATGAGACTTATGAAAAATATTTTAACTTCTATTGTTCATTGATAGTAGATAGAAATATGATTGATTTTTGTATATTACCAATGTGTCCTTCAACCTTCCTAAATGCTCATTAATTCTAGGGCCTTTTAAATATATTTTTTGGAATTTTTTTAAGTAGATACTCATGTTGGTGAATAAACACAGTTTTATTTTTCTACCTTTCCAATGTATATGCCTTTCATTTCTTTTCTTTCTTTCTTTCTTTCTTTTTTTTTTTGACTTACTAACTTATTGCATTCGCTAGGACTTTTGGTTCAATGTTGAATAAGAGGAAAGGGAGTGGACATCCTTTCCAGATTCTCCATTTTAGGGAGAAAGCATTCTGTTTTTCATCATAAAGTATAATGTTCGCTGTAGTATTTTTGTGAATGCCATTTATCAGATTAAGGGAGCCTTCCTATTATCCTAGTTTCCCGGAGTTATTATGAATGGACTCTTACTTTTGTTAAATGCTTTTTCTGCATCTATTCAGATCATCATATAGTTTTTCTTTTTTTTGCCTGTTGATATACCATGAGTTACTTTGGTTGATTTCCAAATATCTCACCTGCTTTGCATTCCTGGGATAAGCCCAACTTTGTGATGGTGTATTATTGTTTTTATGTTTTACGATTTGATTTGCTAGTATTTTCCTGAAGACTTTTTTTGTGTTTATGTTCATGACAGATATTCATCTGTAATTTTCTTTTTTTGTGATATCTTTTTCCGGTTTTAGTATCAGAGTGATGCTTCCCTTATAAAATTATTTGGGAAGTGTTTTCTCCTCTTCAATATTCTGGAAAAGTTTGTATAAAATTGGTAGTATTGCTTCCTTAAATGTTTGCTAAAATTCACCAGTGAGGCCAACTGGACCCAGAATTTGTGAGGTTTCTAAATACATATTTGTGTTAGTTTTTAGTTTTTAGTTTTTTTTTTTTTTTGGGGGGGTGCTTTTATAACAAAATATCCAAGAATGGATCTTACAGTTCTGTGGGCTAGCAGTCAAACATCAAGATGTCAGCAAAGTTGATTTCTTCTGAGGCCTCTCTCCTTGACTTGCAGATGGCCGTCTTTCCTCTGTGTCTTCACATGGTCTTCCCACTGTGTATATCTGTGTCTTAATCTCTTCTTATAAGGATATCAGTTATATTACGTTAAGGGCTATTCTAATGACTTCATTTTAACTTAATCACCTCTTTATAGACCCTATCTCCAAATACGGCCACATATGGGCCACAATTCAGCCCATAACAATATTCAATTTATTTAATTGATATAGGACTATTTAGGTGTCTCTCTTTTTTTTAATGAGCTTTGGCAGTTTGTATTTTTCAGTGAATTTGTCCCATTCATGTAAATTGTCTAACTTATGGGACTAGAGTTGTTTGTAATATTCCCTCATTAACTTTTTGATGTCTTATCTTAACTGATCACCTCTCTTTTTTTTCAATTTCATAAAATGTGTCTTTGTTCTGTGTTTCTTGATCAGTTTGGCTAGAGACTGTATCAATTCTATTGATATTTTCCAAGAACTAGCTTTTAGTTTCCCTTACTTTCTCATTGATTTCAATTTCATTGATTTCTGCTCTTTATTATTTCCTTTTTCCTTCTTGCTTTGGATTTTATCTTTTCTTAATTTATTAAGGTGGAAACTTAGATTATTGATATATTTCTTTTTCATAGATACAACTGGCCCTCCTTATCTGTAGATTCTGCATCTACAAATTCAACCAACTATGGATCAAAGATATTTTAGGAACAAAGATAACAATACAACAACAAAAAATTACAAATTTTAAAAATATAGTATAACAACTATTTACATGGCATTTATGTTGTATTAGGTATTATAAGTAATCTAGACATGATTTAAAGTATTTGAGAGAGAGGGTGTGCTTAGATTATATGCAAATACTATGCTATTTTGTGTAAAGGACTTGAGCATCTGAGGATTTTGGTATCTGTGGGAGGTCCTGGAACCAATTCCTTGCAAATACAGAGGGACAACAGTAGTACAAGTATTTAATACAACAAATCTTCCTGTAAGTACTGCTTTAGTTGCATCCCACACATTTTGAGGTGTTTTTATTTTCATTCAATTTATAATGTTTTCTCATTCTAAGTAGCAAAAGGTGGAACAATTTGAACAACAATCTAATGTAGCAGTGGATTATAGTATGAAGTATAAAATCATCATCCATGAGTTCATACTGATATAAATAAATGATTAAATATGTTAATAAATGGGGAAGAAGAGACAAATCTCCCATGCAGAAGAATTCCTGATAAATTATGTTAATATTCAATTTTAAAGGAAGTGGATCATAATTTCCCACCTCTTAAGTGTGGGTTGCACATATTGACTTTCTTTCAAAGAGTACAGTATGGCCAGAGGAGTACAAAGAATAACTGCATAGTAGAGAAACCTAATAAACACTACTGCAGCCATGTGATCAAGGTCACCATCAACTGTCATACATCATGTTGATATAATATACCCTTGATACTATGGATAAATATGGCACTCTACCTCTGTGATCTTATTCCTGAAAACCCATAACCCCAGTCTTAATCATGAGAAAAAATTAGACAAATTTCAATAGTAAGGCATTGAAGAATACACCTGGCCAGTACTCTTCAAACCTATCAAGGTCATCAAAAACAAGGAAAATCTGAGAAGCCATCATAGCCAAAAGTTGCCCAAGGAGACTTGACAACTAAATGTAATGTTTTATCCTAGATGGGCTCCTGAAACAGTAAAAAGATATTAAGGAAATCTAAGAAAACCAAAATACAGGATGGACTTTAGTTAACAAAAATGTATCAATATTGGTTCAATACTAATGAATGTACCATCCAAATGTAAAACATTAATAATAAGTGAAACTTTGGCAGGGGATATATGGGAATTCTAAGTGCTCATTTTTTTTTCATGTAAAACTTTTCTAAAAAATACAATCTACACATTTTTAACAAAATGTCTCCCTATTTCTCTTATGACTTCCCCTTTGATCTGTGGGTTACTTAGAGGTATTTTCTCCAAATTATTTTTATTGTTGTAAATCTTACATAACATAACATTTACTATCTTATCCATTTTAAGTGTATATTTCAGTATTATTAATTATATTTTTTAAAATTTGTTTGTACCTTTGGAATCATTGCCAGATCCAATGTCTTGAAGTTATTGCCATGCTTTCTTGTAAGAGTTTTATAGTTTTAGCTTTTACATTTAGGTAATGGATCCATTTCAAGTTAATTTTTGTATATGACGTTCGGTAAAGATCCAATTTTATTATTTTGCATGTGGATATCCAGCTTCCCAGCACCATTTGTTGTAAAGACTGTGTTTTTCCCATTAAATGGCCTTGACAACTTTTTTGAAAATAATTTGGGTTTTATTTCTGGACTCTTTCTTCTATTCCTTTGGCCTATATGTCTGTCTATGCCTGTACCAGACTGTTTTGATTACTGTAGTATTGTAGTAAGTTTTGAAATCAAGAAGTGTGAGTCTTTTTTCCCCATATTTTTCAGGATTGTTTTAGCTATTTGGGGTCCTTTGAAATTCCATATGAATTTTAGGATGAGTTTTTCTATTTCTGCAGAAGGAGTCATTGGGATTTTGATAAGGATTACATTGAATCTGTAGATCGTTTTGGGTAGTACTGATATCTTAATGATATTAAATCTTCCAAACCATGAACATGAGATATATTTGTTTAATTCTTTTTTCAGCAATGTTTTATAGGTCTCTTTGTACAAATCTTTCCCTTCCCCTTCTTGGCTAAGTTAATTTCAAAGTATTTTATTTCTTTTTATATATTATTGTAAATGAAATTGTTTTCTTAATTTCATTTTCAGATTGTTCATCTGAGTGTATATAAATGCAACTGATTTTTGTGTGTGACTTTGTATCCTGCTACTTTACTGAATTTATTTTTTTTAACTCTGTGTGTGTGTGAATATGTGTGTGTAAAATCCAGTAATCTTTAGGATTTTCTACATATAATATCATATCATTGGCAAACAGAGATGTTTACTTTTTGCTTTCCCCAGTTTGGATGGCTTTTGTTTCTTTTTTTTCCTAATTTCTCTGACTAGGACTTCCAATATTATGTCAAATAGAAGTGGCAAAAGTGGCATCCGTGCCTTGTTTCTGATCTTAGGGGAAAAGCTTTTACTCTTTCAACATTGAGTATATTTGCTGTGGGTTTTCCATACATAACTTTTATTATGTTTATGTATTTTTCTTATGTTCCTAGTTTGTTGAATTTTTTTTCTACAAACAAATAGGCCAGGCATGGTGGCTCATGCCAGTAATCTCAGCACTTTGGGAGGCCAAGGCAGGCAGGTCACCTGAGGTTGGGGAGTTCACGACCACCCTAGGCAACATGTCTCTACTAAAGAAAAAGTACAAAAATTAGCCGGACGTGGTAGCAGTTGCCTGTAATCCCAGCTACTTGGGAGGCTGAGGCTGAGGCAGAGCAGGAGAGTCACTTGAACCCAGGAGGCAGAGGTTGCAGTGATCTGGGATCACACCACTGTACTTCAGCCTGCGCAACAGTGAAACTCTGTCTCAAAAAGAATATATTCTTGAAAGGATGTTGAATTTTGTCAAATACTCTCTCTGCATCAACTGAGATAAGCATGCCTTTTTTTCTGTTAGCGTATTGTATTACCTTGATTTTTGTATGTTAAGTCATCTTTGCATTCCAGTAATAAATCCCACATAGTCATGGTGTATGATCTTTTTAATATGCCGCTAAATATTTGCTTTGCTACTATTTTGTTGAGGATTTTTACATCAATGTTTAAGATGGATATTGGCCTTTAGTTTTCTTTTCATGTAGGATAATTGTCTGGCTTTGATATTGGGATAATGCTGGCCTCATAGATTAAGTTAGGGAGTGTTCCCTACTCTTTAATTTTTTTAAACAGTTTGACAAGTATTGGTGTTAGTTCTCCTTTAAATGTTTGATAGAATTTAACAGTGAAGGCATTGGATCCAGGGCTTACTTTTTTGGGATAGTTTTGATAACTTATTCAATCACCTTACTAGTCATAGGTCTGTTCAGATTTTCTGTTTCTTTGTGGTTTGGTTTTGGTAGGTTTTGTGTTTCTATAAATTTGTCTATTTCATTGAGGTTATCCAGTTTTTCTGCATACAATTGCTCATAGTACTCCCTTATAATCTTTTTTATTTCTTTAGAATTGGTAGTAATGTCCTCATTTTTATTTCTGATTTTAGTAGTTTGAGTCTTTTCTCTTTTTATCTTAGTTTATCTAATTAAAGGTTCATCACATCATTTTGTTGATATTTTTGAAGAACTTGCTTTTGGTTTCATTGATTTTTCTCTTTTTTATATTTTATATTTTGATCTCTGCTCTAATCTTTACTATTTTCTTCCTTTTGTTAGCTTTAGGTTTAGTTTGTTCTTCTTTTTGTAATTCCTTACGTTGTAAAGCTAGTTTGTTTATTCGAGGCCTTGTTTCTTTCATGT
The DNA here is from genome assembly GCF_000001405.40 of Homo sapiens. NCBI lineage: Eukaryota > Metazoa > Chordata > Mammalia > Primates > Hominidae > Homo > Homo sapiens. The sequence goes on along the minus strand of NC_000010.11, from coordinate 48,093,185 downwards.
AAGCATTTATAGCTATAAATTTCCCCCTTAACCCTGCTTTTGCTGTGTCCCATAGTTTTGATATGTTGTGTTATGTTTTCACTCATTTCTAAATGTTTCTAATTTCCCTTGTAATTCCTTCTTTGATCCATTGGTGTTTTAAAATTATGTCGTTCAATTTTCACAAATCTGTAAGTTTATCAGTTTTTCTTATATTTGATTTCTAACTTTATCTCTTGTATTTTGAGAAGAAACTCTTTGTGATACCAGTGTTTTAAAATTGACTGATACTTAGTTTATAGCCTAACACATGCAAAATATTCCATGTGTTCTTAAATATGTGGTCTGTTGTTGCACAGAGGATTCTGTATGTATCTGTTAGATATACTTTGTTTATTATATTGTTCAAGTCCTCCCTTTTCTTACTTCTAATTGTTCTATCCACTAATGAAAATGGGATATTGAAATCTTCAATTATTATTGTAAAACTGTTTCTCTCTTCATTTCTGCCAATTTTTGCTTTGTGTATTTTGATTGTTACTAGGCGTGTAAATGTTTATAACTGTTATATGTTCTTGCTGTATTGAACCTTTTATGATATATAATGTCCTTCTTTGTCATTTTTAACTTTTTAAAATTAAAATCGATTTTATCTGATATTAATATAGCTATTCATGCTCTGTTTTGGTTCCTGTTTGCATGGAATATTTCTTTTACTTTTAACCTATTCGTGTCTTTGGATCTAAAGTGAGTCCTTTGTAGACAGTGTATAGTTGGATCATGTTTTTATTTTTTAATCCATTCTGCCAATCTTTCTTTCAATTGGTGAGTTTAATTCATTTATATCTAAAGTAATTGCTGATAAGGAGAGACTTCTGTCATTTTGCTATTTTAAAAAAATATTTCTTGTAGCTTTTTTGTTCCTCATTTTTTTTTGCCTTACTGTCTCCTTTTGTATTTAGTTGCCTTTTGTAATGAAATATTTAAATTCTTAAAAAATTTCCTTTATGTATTGTTTTTAGCTATTTTCTTTGTGGTTACCATGGGCATTATATTTAACATCCTAAACTTATCACTCTAATTTGAATTTATGCCAGCCTAATTCAGTAAAATACAAAAAAAAAAAAAACTGTGGACCTTTGACAGTTTTGACCCCATCTCTTTCATTTGTTGTCACAAAATTACATTTTTATATATTATGTGTTCCAAAACATAAAATAATGTTTTTAATGCTTTAGTTTCTCATGTAGAAAACAAAATGTTGATTTACAATCTAAAGTTATGATAATTTTTTTATTTTTAGGCTAATAAATTTAGGAAAAAGTCATCTCTTAAATCATGTAGAAAAGAAAAAGTGAAGTTACACATTATTGTTACAAGAATACTAGCTTTTATAATTAGTCATGTATTTACTGAAATCTTAATTTCTTTATTTTGATTTTTTCTTTGATTACATTAAAGTTGTCACTCAATTGTCTTCTGGCTTATATTGTTTTTGATGAGCTTTTGGATCTGAGGCTTGGTGTCTTTCATTCATTTTGGAAAAAATTCTCAGTTATTATCTTTTCAAATATTTCTTCTGCCCAATTCTCCTTCTCTTCTATTTTGGGATTCCATTTACAGGTATAATATATTAGTCTGTTTGATATTGGTTTGTAGTTCTTGGATGGTCTCTTCTTCTCTGCCTCTGCCCCTCATCTACCTTTTTTCTCTGTGTTCTAATTCGGATAATTCCTCTTGATCTATTTTGTAATTCATGAATTCTTTTCTTGCCTCTGTGAAATCTACTGATGAGCTTATCAATAACATGCTTAATTTCTTACAATATTTTTTTTACTTTAAGCATTTCCACTTTATTATTTTTATGGCTTCCATCTCTCCATTGAAATTCTCCATCTGTTCATGTATATTGTCTACTTTTCCCACTGCCTTTTCACACATTGATTATCACTATTTTAAATTCATCACTTGACAGTTTTAACATATGTTATATCTCTGTCTGGTTCTGTTGATTGCTTTGTCTCTTGGCAACTTTTTTCTCTTTTTCTTACTTCTGTATGTACTCTATAATTTTTTGGTTGAAAACTGAATATTGTATAGTCTAGAGATAGAAGTAAAAATGTCTTATCCATGGTTTCACTCTTCATAGTTTCAGTTACCTGCAGTCAACCACAGACTAAAAATGTTAAGTGGACAATTCCAGATATAAACAATAAGTTTTAAATTGCACACTGTTCTGAGTAGTGTGATGAAACCTCACACTGTCCTGCTCTGTCCTGCCTGGGAGTGAATCATTCCTTTGTCCAGCATATTCATGCCCTATGTGCTACCTGTCTCTTAGTCAACTAGTAGTCATCTTGGTTATCAGATCTACTGTTTTGGCCTCACAGTGCTTGTGTTCAAGTAACCCTTATTTTACTTAGTAATGGCCCCAAAGAGTAGTGATGCTGGCAATTTGAATATGCCAAAGGGAAGCTGTAAAGTGCTTTCTTTACATGAAAAGGTGAAAGTTCTTGACTTAATAAGGAAAGAAAAAAATCATATGCTAAAGTTGCGTAGACCTATGGTAAGAATGAATCTTCTATCCAAGTTTTGCTGTTGCACATCAGAGTGCCAAAGTTATGGCCACAGTGCATGATACATGCTTACTTAAGATGGAAAAGGCATTAAATTTATGGGTGGAAGACATGAACAAAAATATGTTTCAGTTGATGACGATCAGGTTCAATACTATCCAGAGTTTCATGCATCCACTGGGGGTCTTGGAACATATCCCCTGCAGCTAAGGGGGAGCTATTGTAGTATTTCTTAGCTAAGTTCTAGACGCTGAGGTAAATAGGGATGGACATGACTCTTTTGTTGGTAGGCCTTCAGTGTGAGGAGTTGCATCAATTTACTCAGTAATGCAGCAGGGCTTGGGTTTGATGTTGCTATGGTTACCCTTAGTGCACCACCAGCTTCAAATTCCTCCAGTGTTACCTTACATGTAGAGGATTTGCCTCAGTGTTTACTCCACCCTCTGCTTTAGCTCTTCCCATTGTACATGCACCTCAGAGAAGGTCTTCTCCATGATCTTCTCTAATTCCCAGCAGTAGAGAGCTCTTACTTATGATTACCTTGCTTGCCAACCTGGTTGGGGTGACATTCTCTGCTGTCCTTGTTCAGTCTCAGTCTTAGGAAGGCCTCAGGCGGTACCTCCTTTGTTATTTTGTCCATTCTGCAGGTGTAGGGAATATCTTATGGCCTGGGTCCAGGATGCTCTTCTCTCTTCCCTACCCCCAATGTTAATGAGTCTTCATTTGTGCCTTGAGGATGACAGAGTTTCATGCGTTTTCTCAGGTTCTTATGCTTTTGGTCCATTAGGGAAATAGGGAAAAGCATTTTGGGCATGCTTTGTGCCATTCCTGTGGATGCTGTTTTTCCCCTTCCCAAGCTTGCCCCACAAAGGAGGATTTCTCAAGTTCCTCACCCTGTCTGCAGCTTTTCTCCTGAGCCTCTGATGAGGTCCTCACATGCATTATCTTTTCACTGTTTGTTTTTAAACCTTTCTTGTCTTCATTACTGTATGTATACATGCCTTTGTCCTATGGCAATAAGTTGATTTTCAACTGTCTGCTTTGTTTCTTGCAGAATTCGATTTAATTATAAATTATTGCTGTAATTATGTACTTTTGAGTTTTACCTTTATTTTCTTAGGTTTATAAACTAATTTTTTTAAACCTCATTCTATTGTTTTCTTATCTCCTTGTGAACTGTTATTTAAAATAATTTTTCTTTTTCTTTCGACAGATGTTGCATACACAGTTCATTTTCCTTTTTAAGCTTATCTTCCATTTTAGAATAGATTTTAAAAATTATTCTGCATGCTATATTATATTATTATTTTTTCTGTGTTTCACATTTTATTCCATTTTGTTATGAACACGTATAGCTTTTTCTGTCTCTTCGGTTTTGTTGATTGAGCAGGAATGAATTCTTCCTGATTTCCATTTTTATTTGGATCTCATCATCTTCCCTTGTAAACTGTATTTTGGAGGGCTGCATTGTTTATTTTGCCCGAGGACAATGATAAGTGTGCTGAAGGGATAGGGGCCAAGGAGCAGGATACTCAAAGGGCATGGTGTGGCTGAAATGTTAAGCAGATATCACAGATGCCCTTACTCAATATCAGTCACACCCTTCTCCTAGTGTACCTTCCTGTATGGCCCAGGCAGAAAAATGAAAAATTACATTTTCAAGACTTCCTGGTAGCTTATTTGGGCTTTGCCGATCATATGCACTTAGCCAAGATGTAAATGTGTAGAGAGGCATCCATTTTATTGCTATGCATCATAGCAGGCTTGGCGTTCCTGGTCCTCATTATAGGTAAGGTGATGTGTTACTAGAGCCAACAGTTGTGGTAGTGACTTTCTTATTTCTCCATTGTTGCTGAAGTGGTGTCATCTAGGAGCCAGTGGCTAGAAAAAATGGTCTCCAACTTCCTCAGTTTCCTAATTGTGGCAAAGACAGAACTTTTCTTGGCAGACCATTATGCAGTGTTGTTCTTGGATCATAATGAGAGAAGCATCTGTTCTTCAAGCCCACACAATGGTGATACAACACCAAATAGCTAGATCAAATCCCTTTCTGTAAACTGGCTGAAATGATTCCCAGGATCTACAGCTGAAACCTCACCTTTATACTTTGATTGGAATTCTTGGACCAGGCTACAAGAAAAAGAGACCAAATTCAGAATGATGTTAATGATAAAGATATATATATATTTTCTACCATAATGGAAGCCCAGAGATAGGAAGGATTCCAGGTTCAATATGATCAGTTGCTAATGTCATCAAGAACATAGTTTCTTTATGTTTTTCACATTTGCTATACTCTTTCCTTTTATGGCCATAAGAGGGCAGACTATGATAATTAGGTCCTTATACTTCTTTGTTTATGTCTGTACAGAGGGATGAGGGTAGAAGAGAGGTTTGCTTCTCTTTTTTACAAGACCAGCCTATTTCTATGGTTGGCGCAAATCTCCTACCTATTTCTGAATTATTCACTGGAAGGATCTTACTATGGAATGATGACAAATGGCTTTAACTAACCAGAGGGGTAGAATCAGTGTTGGGGAGTCAACACCAGTGTTTGTTACAGTCATTCTACATTTTCATTTTTTTCTCTCTTCATTCTCCCAGCTTTTGTACTAGCAAAGGTGGAACACAATGGGAAGATCTAAGGGTTTTTCTGTTGGGCATCAAAGATGATCAAAATGGCTTCTACGCTTGTGGGAATTTTATCTCCCCTTCCAGCCTGCTTAGACCTCCTCTCATACTAAGGTTAGGGATATTTGTGAGAAATTTTAGGATTTCTGTGCCTGTCTATCCCAACCAAGAGCCCTCACTTCCAACCCTACAAAGAGCCTCTGGATATAGTGGAGTACCAAGATAAGATGTGCTTCCCAGGAATGTGCAGATTCTTAGAAATTTCCACCTCTTTCTTTTGCTATATTGTTTTGTATATATCTTTTTGCTGGTATTAACTTGATTATTGTTCACATTATTTGGCTTTGCAAAGAGATTATGAGAACTTGTTTTACTTGAACATCTTACCTCAAAATTTTGAAGCTTTTAAAATACTCTTTTACTGTTGACTTCTAGATTTATTGCATTTTGGCCAGTGGACATAATGTATAAAATTTCAGATGTTTGGAACCTTGACTGTCAACATTACCTAAAAGATCATAATTAAAAATAAAAAGATTGTATGTGTGCTATTAAATATTAATAGAATGTTCTCCCCAATTATTGGTTGCAAGTGTCCATACGTATCCATTATTCCGTCTTATTAATTATATTGCATAGATCCTCTCCATCCTTGGTGTGTGTGCACGTGTGTGCGTTCATGTTCAATCTGTTTCAGAGTAATGAAACAGGATGTGAACTCTCCACATCACCACATCTCAGACTCTAGGAACTTCCAAACACTTGGTCCCAGGGAGGGCAAAAGTTCTCTTTCCTAATCCAAGCCTTGTACGTTCTTGCCTTGGCATAATTTTCAATCCATATACCCAATTCACATTATAAAACTGAACACTTCTCAATCCACAGCATTCGTTATGTTTATGGCACTGAACAGTTTTCTCCAAGGGCAGTGGATTTTGTATAATTTCAAGGTGTAAATAGCCATGATTTTTCCAAAGGAAGCCTCTTTCAAAGTAGTAGACTCTTCACCCGTGGAAAAATAAACTTCTGTTTACCCTTAAATGGCTGTGTCTTTAAGAGAAACAGAAACAAAAATAAAATCTCCCTTCACATATATACCAGTAACTTACATATGTGAATTTTTCTCTTCCTTAGATACGCGCAAAATTGTTTCTGAAGGAGAACTAGATCAGTTGGCTCAGATTCGGCCATTAATATTCAATTTTCATGAGCAGACAGCCATCAAGGATTGTTTGAAAATCCTTGAGGAAAAAACAGCAGCGTATGATATCATGCAGGAATTTATGGTAAATATTTTCTTAACGAAAGTCTATATGTGATTTCTTTTTTTATATCATTGCCAGAGGGTTTCTTTTCTTTTCTTTCTTTATTTGGTTTTAGTACATTGTTTTTACTTTTAAATGTTATATATATTTTAAAGTAATAGATGTACGTGGTTAAAAAAAAAGCCAAATAGCATAAAAGGATATAAAATAGAAAGTCTCTCTCTTTCTCTCAAGACTTTCTAGGGCCCCTTTACACTATTCATTTTGTCATTTTGTCATGCAAACTTTTAAAAAAATTTGTTGGAATGCACTTTACATCCTTAAATTTGTTTTCCTCCTAGATACAATTTCCAAGTATATTATCAGCATGTATAGCAGTATCTCATTTTTTTAAGTGTTGCATGGTAATTATATGGATAAGTACCTTAATTTATTTAATATTTAATTTCTGAAATTAGGGTACTTATCCATATAATTAACTACCATGGAACATTTGGACATTTAGGTTGTTCTAGTCTTTGCTATTATGAACAGCGGTCATCTCTCTTCATATACTGTATGCATATATTTAAATATTTTTTGAACAAATTCCTAGAAAGACAATATTAATATTTTGGGCTATCAATTTTTTGGATCTTTTCTCATCTCTTAAATGACAAATTATTTCTTATTGATTACTTAATTGGTATTTATTTGAGAACAAAAGAATATCTTTCCATATGTTTTTAAGCCTTTTATATTTTCAGTGAACTGCTAGTTTCAATTCTTTGCCCCATTTTCCTTTTTTTTTTTTTCTTATTGGTTACTCTTTTTTTTTTTGAGATGAGTCTTGCTCTTGTCCCCCAGGCTGGAGTGCAGTGGTGCGATCTCGGCTCACTGCAACCTCCGCCTCCCAGGTTCAAGCGATTCTCCTGCCTCAGCCTCCCGAGTAGCTGGGATTACAGGTGCCTGCCACCATACCTGGCTAATTTTTGTATTTTTAGTAGAGACAGGGTTTCACCATGTTGGCCAGGGCTGCTCTCAAACTCCTGACCTAAGGTGATCAGCCCACCTCGGCCTCCCAAAGTGCTGGGATTACAGGCGTGAGCCACCGCGCCTGGCCGATTACTAACTCTTTAAGGAAAAAATTATGCCTTTGTGTGTCTTACACGTAGTATTTTTTCTGCTGTTGTTTGTGTTACACACAGGTGCACATGCATGTGCACACACATGCCTATTTACCATGAAGAAATAGCTGATTTTTAGTGGTCAAATATGGCAGTCTTTGCTTTTGGGGCTTCTGGGTTTGGGGCTTTCTGTGCTCTTTAGGAATGCTTCTTTTACTCTAGGATTGTAATAATTACTTCATGTTTTTTTCTAGTACCTTTATGATTTTTAAGCATTTAAATCTTTGATGCAGCTAGAATTTAATTTGGTATAAGATGTTTGATAGGGACTCAGCATTATATAACTATCCAGTTGTCCCAAGACTCTCCTGGAATTTCTCTTGAGTGAGGTAAAATGCCACTTTTATCATATACTAGAGCCTTACATATATTTTAATTTATTCTTGGACTTTTTCTACTGATTTTCTTATTCCTTTATTGGTATTGTTCTGTTAATTAGCATAGCTTCATATTATCTTTTAACATCTAATGAGACTCATCTGCCATCATTATTCATTCATAAATGAATTTTTTCTCATTCTTCCTACAGAATTTTTTCCAGATTAATTTTAAAATTGATTTTCAGAAAGACTTGATCATTTTATTGTACTACTTAAAACCTTCACAGGCTCCTTGTTCCCCATGGCAGCGGTTGCTAGGTTGGCTACACAAGAGTTACCCAAGAGCTTTGAAAATGTATAGATTTTCAGGCTTTCTCCACAAATATTCTAATAAAGTATGACTAGCTACCTCCTAATTTCATTTATATATGAAACAAGATATTTTATAGTTTTAGTCTGTTGTTGGACTAGATCATGTGCTTTGTGCTCTTATTACCATATTAGTCACAGTTTCCCAAAGGGACATGTATGCCTCCATTATTTCCACCCCTTCACCTTCTCTCCTCTTTCCTTCTAAGTACACACTGTTTTTCATATGCTAACTTCCAGTGACTCACTAAGGCCCAGTTCAAGGGCTATTTCCCTTTGAGGAGCTTTTCTTCTTGACTTTTAGGTGCAATCTAGTGCTGTCATTTATACTACTGTCTCCGTACATTGGTCACATGGTATTTGATTACATGTCCTCTAACTACTCTGTTCACTCCTTAAGGATGAGGCCATTATCCAATTCATCCCTGTATTCCAGTGTCTGAAACAGGGCCAGATACCTACTAAATGCGTAATAAGTGTTTGTTGAATTCACACTTGGTAAAGAAATTTTTTGAAAGGAAGGATTCTTAGGGTCCTAACTATAATTTCTTCAAAGGGGAAGGGTAAATTGTGAGACTGTTTGTATATATTTTTTGTTTATATGTTTTTGTTGTTGTTATTTTGTTATTTTTATTTATAAAATGATAGATCTGTGGGTAGGTTCTGAGAAATGAATAGCTTGTATTTCCTTTTTTATGAAAGAAGAACAAAATGAAGTTCAAGTGGAAAGTATCTCCAGAAAGTTTAACATTTTCTTATTAACCAACTCATTGATTGGCATGTGAAACTTGAGATATTTTATATAGCACTTTTTAAATGAGGATCTAGCTTCACTTATCATACAACACATTAAATAGCAGGTCATGTCATATAGGGATTTAAGGATCATGAGCACTAAACAAAGGCATATTTTTTTCTTTTTTATTGGTTATAGTAAATACACAATTTATTATTTATTTATTTATTCATTTTTAACCTTTTAAAGGCTTTAGAACTTAAGAATCTGCCTGGTGAGTTCAACTCTGGGAATCAACCAAGCAACAGAGAAAAAAACAGATACCGAGATATTCTTCCATGTAAGCTAAAAATAGTTTTGATTATTTTCCTGTTTACATTTAGAAAAAGTGCAAAGGGCACTGTATGGCTTTTTGTATGAGACATTTTGGCCTGTGACCATGATAAAGGGTTCTGGTACATAGCACTGGGTGATCTGGGCATATTCTAAGATATGTGCTACATATGAGAGAGTCAGGTCCTCTGTTTTCTGGTACATCCTTCAGCCACTGTTACAGGGTCCTTTACAGCAGTCCTTCAGCCTTGTTCTCATATATTGCTGCTTCTCAGAGCATGAGCCTTCCAAAACATAAAATCCAATAGTCTGAGTCATACACCACTTTTGGTACCCGAAGCCTTAACCACCTTCTCTGGCTATTTTGTTTAGACACGCGAAAAAAGAGCTATTTGCATCCTTCATCCTGGACAATAAAGCTGTTAATCTGCTCTCCAACAGGAGGCTGCCTTTTGATTGTCTCCACAGAGCCTTAACATTGCTTCCCTGTGTTGGATGGGAGAGTAGTGGCACCTTCTGTCCTCCTCACTCAGTTACTCTTAGGAGTTATCCATCTCAGGCCATTCAAAGAGCAGAATCAAAACACAGCAATGCAATTTTAATCTTAGGCAGGATATCTCAATCCATAACTCACATTCCTTTCAAAGTCAAAGTTTTTCAAAACTAAATTTACTATTTTACTTCCTCCAACTTGACCCTCTTCTTATATTCTATATCTTATGTAATCACCAAGTTCAAACCAGAAAACAGGGAGTCAGTTGATTCTACCTCCATAATACCTCTGGGGTCCTCCCCCATCTCTCAGTTCCCACTGCTGCTGACTTAGACTGAGCCCATTTTACCTCTCAGCTGGTTACGTTCTTCTTTACTGCCTCCCTTTCTGATCATTCACAAAAGCTACTGAGATTTTCTTAAAATGCAAGTCAGAACATGTAGCTCTTCTTTTAAAGCTCTTTCTTGGCTCTTTGTTACTATCATGGTACAGTTGTTTAACATGGCCTAAGAATTTCACCTGTTTGCCTCTCTAGCCTTAGCTCTCCCACAAAACTTCTTTTGGTATCTAGAATTCATAATTCTTTTCTTATTTGTTGGTTTTTATGCCTCTTAACCTGCAGTTCTTGAAAGAACTACTCATCCCTTCTTTGCTGAGGCAGTTCCTGCTATCTTTCTTAACCAGCTCCAATAGGCTTTTCTTATTTTCCTCAAAGCTAGGTTTGGTGTTTTTCCAGTAGTCTCACAGCATCTTGTAACCACTCTCCCCTTCTACCAAACCATATTTTAATTATTTTCACTTTTGTTTCTCCTACTAGACTTGAGATAGTTATTATAAAAACCAGAGTGGAACACAGTGACTGCGGTCACTAGATAAATACCTTCATGTTTAGTTGGTTTATTAGAATTGAAACTAACTTTATGATGATAAAAAACAAGTACATATCCAACATGGTTAAAATAAGCTATTCTGTTATCTTCTGTGGGGAGAGTGTGGAGAAGTGCATTGATGAATACTTCTGAAATCAGAATAATGAACCATGATTAGACATTTTAATAAATAATACTAATAATTTGTTGCTTCTCCAAAATGTCAAAGGTCCAAATTTTATAATTTCTATTTCTGCATGTGCAGTTTGCCCTCAAGGAGACTAAAAGCAAACATGCCTTAAAAATTAGCCTCTCGGGATTGTAAGAAGCTCATTTTACAATAGAAGGTACACATAATATTTGATCTGACTTGAAGTTTTTATTCTGGATATCAAAAGAGTTACAACTAAGAAATTCAAAGATAATAAAAATAATGTTAAATCATTAAAGTAAGGGAAGTTATGTAAAACTTTTGGCTTTTCATAAAAGAAAAGAAACTATAATTCAACCATATTCTTTTTAAAGGCCCATTGGTATATCTACCTCATAACGCAGTGTAATCTAATCTGAAACTCAGCCAACTTAAGTGGCCATCATAGAAAGCTCTGTGGTTTTTTTAATCACACATTTCTTGACTTTATAGAAAAGGTTCCTGAAGACTCATATTAAGAAAGCTAAAGAAGTAATTTATTTGTCGTCTTCAAATGCTGAGAACACTAAATAGATGAATTCACACACCTTTGAACACTGCAAATATAGGGAACCTTCACTTTGCATGGCCCCAATATGCTCAAATATCAGTTACTGTGTTTAGCTAAATAACACCAGTCCCACAGTACAATTCACATTTTAGTTACCACAATATATTCACTGCAAGTAATTGCCTAAAGTAGTAAGCATCTTTGCTGGCACTTTAGTCCACAAGTCCCTATGTAAATAACAGATGTGCATCATGACCAGTGACTAATAAATGTTACTTCTTTCAAAATATGTCAGTGATAGGTAACTGTGAGCCTCTTATTCAGTTCACACACAGCAAAGCATGTGATTGTATTGTCTCCTTGTCTCTCAATGGTAAACCCCTATGACCTTTTACCAAAATGTATAATCAAGAGAGAGATTTGGCTGAGAGAGATGAAACTGCAATAAAGGGATAAAAAGTGATAATGTTGGAAATGAAATTTGAATGGAGTTATAGAAGAACTAGCTGACCAGGGACATGCTGATACTGCTACTGCTCAAAAGACCCTAGAGCTGCAGCCTAAGGCACCTGTGGAAGGGGAACTTACCGACATGAATGACCAAAGTGCTTGTGAGGAAAAGGATAAAGGCAACCTAGGGGAAGCAATGATGGTAGAAAACTTGACATTAAAGAAACTTTGGAGCTATTTCACAACAATATAAGTGCCAAGGATAAAAGGTGGAAACTGATCCAGACTTGGAAGTTAGCCTAGACATAGAAAAAATGCTCACTCTGTATTGTAAGTTATACAACAAAAAGAAGAGGCAAACACTGTTCAAACTACTCTGGGTAAGTTTTTTTTTTTTTTTTTTAACAAATTAAATGCTTTAATTCCCAATATTTCTAATGTTTTAAATTACAATGTTCTAAATATTAGTCTTGCTATTTTTTGCTTCTCTATATATGTATAGCCAGCAATAAGTGAGTTTTTAATGATTTCACAAAAAATGTTAAGAGCCATGAAACAAGAATAATATTTCCTATTGATTACTAAGATCCTTTTGTGACTGGGCGCGGTGGCTCATGCCTGTAATCCCAGCACTTTGGGAGGCCGAGGCGGGCAGATCAGGAGGTCAGGAGATCAAGACCATCCTGGCTAACACGGTGAAACCCTGTCTCTACTAAAAATACAAAAAAATTAGCTGGGCGTGGTGGAGGCCCCTGTAGTCCCAGCTACTCAGGAGGCTGAGGCAGGAGAATGGCGTGAACTCAGGAGGCAGAGCTTGCAGTGAGCCGAGCTGAGATAGCGCCACTGCACTCCAGCCCCGGGCGACAGAGCAAGACTCCGTCTCAACAACAACAACAACAACAAAGGTCCTTTCGCATGGTTTCAACTTGCATGGTCATATTTATGGCCCTGTACCATCATGCCAAGCAAGAATGGCCTTTATTATGTAGTATAGGAATTTTTAGGTATAAAGACAATATCTTCCATTTCTTTACCATTTCACAACTTACAAAGCAGTTTGAAGGCTAATAAAAGAGCGAGTCACACAGGTTCCCCAACTCCTGGCCTAATATTTTTTCTGTTACTTATCTATCAGGGACCTATTCAGAACTAATAAAGGTAGTGACTTAGGTTTCTGTTAGCTTCTCACTTTTCAGAGCATGCTTATATATTTCTCATTGAGTGTTCTGTATGATCATGTGAGAAGAACAGAGAAGATGATAATATCTAAATTTAATGCAAGACAATAAGGAAGGGATAATCTTTCAACAAATCATCTGGACAGTTGCATATTCATGTACCAAAAATGAACTTTGATTCTTACCTCACAACTTATATAAAAATTAACTCAAAATAGATTATAGACCTATCATTAGAGTTAAAAACATAAAACTTCTGAAAGAAACCCTAGGAGAAAACGTTACTGCCCTTGGCTTTGGCAAATTTTTCCTAAATAGGACACAAAACCCTCAAATTGTAAAAGAAAAAAAATAAATTGGACTTCATCAAATTAAAAAAAAAACCCTGCTCTTCAAAGCATATTATTATAAAACCAAAAAGGAAAGCAACAGGCTAGAAGAAAAATACAGGCAAAACATTTATCTCACAAAAACTTATATTTATAATCTATAATTACTACAAATCAAGAAGAGGACAAATAACCCAACACTAAATGAGCAAAAAATTTGAGCAGACACTTCTCAAGGAAGATATAAGGATGGCAAATAATTGCATGAAATGATATTCACCATTGTAAATCATTAGGAAAATGCAAATTAAAACCATAATGAGATACCATTTTACACTCACTGCAATGAAATGGAATTTGTTTCTAATAAAGTTAAACATGTACCTACCATATGATTTAGCAGTTCTATTCATATGTTTTACCTAAGAGAAATTAAAGCATATGTCTGCATAAAGACTTATATACTAATGTTCATATCAGATTTACTTATAATAGCCAAAAACTGGAAACAGTGCAAATGCCCATCAACGGAAGAGTGAATAAACAAATTGTGGTATGTCTACATAATAGAATGCAACTAGGCAATAAAAAATGACTAACAATGCATTGAACAACATGAATGAATCTTAAAATAATTTTACTCAGTGAAATAAGCCAGTCAAAAGAGTATATACTGTGTGTTATGAGCCAAATTAAATTCTCCCAAAATTTGTATGTTGAAGTTCCAACCCTTTGTACCTCAGAATGTGACCTGATTTGGAGATAGGGCCTTTAAAGTAGTAATTAATATAAAATGAGGTTCTTAGAGTGTGCCCAATCCAATCCATCAGATGTCCTTATATAAAGAAGAAATTGGGACACACAAGAGACATCAGGGATCCAAAGGCACAGAGAAAGGTCCATGTGAAGACACAGCAAGAAGGCAGCCATTGGCAGGCCAAGGAGAGAGGCCTCAGGAAAAACCAAGCCTGCTGCCACCTTGATCTTTGTCTTAGTTTCTTTGTGTTGCTATAGAGGAATAATTTATGAAGGAAAGGGATTTAGTTAGCTCATAGTTCTGCAGACCGGAAGGTTCAAGAGTGGGCATCTGGTGAGGGCTATGGGCTGCTTCCACTCATGGTGGAAAGTGAAGTAAAACCAGCATATGCAGAGATCACATGGTGAGAGAGGAAGCAGGAGAGAAATGGGGAGGTACCAGGCTCTTGCAGAACGAATAGAGTGAGAGCTCACTCCTGCCATTAATCTATTAATGAGGGATGTGCCCTTGTGACTCAAACACCTCCCATTAGGCTCCACTTCCAACATTGGGAATCAAGTTTCAACATGAGGTTTAGAAGGGCCAAACATCTAAATCATAGCATTTTGCCCCCGGCCCTTTAAAACTTATGTTCTTACCACATTGCAAAATACAATTATTCCTTCCCAATAGTCCCTAAAAGTCAACTTGTTTCAGCACCAACTTAAAAGTTCAAAGTCACATCTGAGACTCAAAGTAAGTTCTTTCCAGTTGTAAGCCTGTAAAATCAAAAAAGAGATTATTTACCTCCAAGGTACAATGGTGGTACAGGCACTGGGTAAATGTTTCCATTCCAAAAAGGAAAAATTGGTCAAAAGAAAGGGATAATAGGCCCCATGCAAGTCCAAAACACAGCAGGGCACACTTTAAATCTTAAAGCTCCAAAATAATCTCCTTTGACTCTATCTCCTACATATTGGTCACAGTGGTGTGTGGGGTGGGCTCCCAAGGCCTTGAGTAGCCCTTCCCCCATAGCTTTGCTGGGCGTAGACCACTGGCTGCTTCCATGGGTTGTAATAATGCTGCAGCTTTTTCAGGCTGAGGTGGAATGCTGTGGATAGCTCTACTATTGTGGGGTTCCAACACCTTTGTGGGTCCACTAAGAGTTGCCCTGGTGGGGACTCTAAGGAAACTCCAACCCAACATTTCCACTAAAGATTGCCTTGGTAGGGGCTCTCTTTGGTGGCTCCACTCCTGCAATAGGCATCTGCCTGCTTTCCCAGGCTTTTTAATATATTCTCTGAAATTTAGGTTAAAGCTGCCAAGCCTCCATGTCCCTTGCATTCTGGATGCCTGCAGACTTAACACCACATGAATGCCACCAAGGCTTACCACTTAGCCCCTCAGGAGCAGTGGCCCAAACCCTACCTGGGGCCATTTGACCCACTGCTGGAGCCAGAGCAGCCAGGATGTGGGGAGCAGCATCCTGAGGTGGCCAAGGGCAGTGGTGCTCCAGGTCTGTCCCCAGAAGGCCTTGGGCCTATTAGGGAAGGGGTGGCCCCAAATATTTCTGAAGTGCCTTTGGGCACTTTTTCCAGACACTCTCTCATATTATTGTCTTTTTCTGAGCCTTCCACACACTTCCAACCTCCGCTCATCGCCCAGTTCCAAAACTGCTTCCACATTTTCAGGTATCTTTATAGCAACACCCCAATTCTCAGTACCAATTTTCTGTCTTATTCCATTTTGTATTGCTATAAAGGAATACTTGGGGCTGGTTAATTTATAAATAAAAGAGGTTTATTTAATTCCCAGTTCTGCTGGCTGGAAGGTTCAAGATTGGGCCTCTAGTGAGGGCTTCAGGCTACTTCCACTCATGGTAGAAGGTGAAGTGGAATCAGCATGTGCAGAGATTACATGGTGAAAGAGGACACAAGAGGGAGAGAGAGAGGTGCCTGGTCCTTTTTAATAATCGGTTTTTGCAGCAGTGAATAGAGTGAGAACTCACTCAACCCTGAGGAAGGGCATCAATCTATTCATGAGTGATTTGTCTCCATGACTCAAAACCTCCCATTAGGCCCCACTTCCAATGTTGGGGATCAGTTTTCAACATAAGGTTTGGAGAGGACAAACATCCAAACCATAACAATACTGGACTTCCAGCCTCCAGAATGTGAAAATAAATTTCAAACCTAGAAAACTAATATACTGTATGCTTCCACATATATAAAATGTTAGAAAATTTAAACTAATTTGTATTGACAGAACGTCTCAGTGGTTGCCTTGGGGCAAGATGAGAGCAAGAAGGATAGATTATAAAGAGGCATGAGGATAGTTTTGCACTGATGGAGATGTTTAATTATCTTTATTGTGGTGGTGGTCTCATGGGTGCACATGTATGACAGTTTTACCTCCATAAACTGTTAAAAAGGTGGTTTGTGAGTGCAAAAGGTATATTACACTTTTAAAAAATTTTCATACACTTCAGCATTATAATATAGATAGATGGGAAAACAAGCTCTTCAAGGCAGAGATTTAACAAGCTTCTTTCTGTACTTCTTGAGGTTGCTCTATGTTTGTTTCTGCTACTACCACCCACTAATAATAATAGTAGTAGTAACACTAATATGTTTATTACTATTGCTTATTACTAATTTAAGTCTGTTATAGGTAGTAATGTTTAATCCCCACAACAACCTACCTCTAAGGTGTCAGTATGTTAGTGTCCTTGTTTACAGAAAGGCTAAAAGAGATAAGTAATTTTCTCACATTCACACTGCAAATAGGAGAGAGATCTGGGATTCAAACCCAGGCCTAACCACCACTGTATTTATTGTACATTGTTTTCTTTCCTATTTCAAGAAACCTTTTTTTTTTTCTCCTTTTGAGATGGAGTCTCGCTGTCGCCCAGGCTGGAGTGCAGTGGCATAGTCTTAGCTCACCGCACCCTTTGCCTCCTGGGTTCAAGCGATTTTCCTGCCTCAGCCTCCTGAGTAGCTGGGATTACAGGCATGTGCCACCACACCTGGCTAATTTTGTATTTTTAGTAGAGATGGGTTTTCTCCATGTTGGTCAGGCTGGTCTCGAACTCCTGACCTCAGGTGATCCACCCACCTCGGCCTCCCAAAGTGCTGGGATTATAAGCATGAGCCACCGCACCCAGCTGTTTTGTTTCTTTAAGAATCAGAGTCTACTTGGAGTGCAGTAGCATAATCATAGCTCACCGAAACCTCAAACTCCTGAGCTCAAGCAATCCTCCCACCTCAGCTTCCCAAGTAGTTGGGACTATGGGGATGGGCATGTGCCACCATACCCAGCTAATTTTTTATTCATTTATTTTTTTTTTAGAAACAGGGACTCACGCTTTTGCTTAGGCTGGTCTCAAACTCTTGGCTTCAAGTGATCCTTCTGTCTCAGCCTCCCAAGTAGCTGGAATGCCTGGCTCTCGTCATTCTTCTTATAGATATGAAACTATGTTTTGTAGTATTTGTTGCTATTACTTCATTTTCTTTCCCTTTTCCCTTAATTTGAAATCACTGTTCTGATGAATTAATTGTTTGATTGGAGATGGGTATAAGTAGTTGATGCAGTCTCAAGCTCTACTTTTTTTTTTTTTTTTTTATCCTGATAAACGAATATCCTTGTTGGTTTTAGGAATCTTGGGTTTTAGTTCTTTTTTTTCTCATTTTTTTTCCCTGAGTGTTACTTCACTGTCCTCTTCCTTCCAGTGTTTTAGATGAGAACTGTAATGGCCATCTGACTCCTTTTCTTCATGAGAAATATGCTCTTTTATTTCAAAATCTTTAACTATTTTCCTGGAATTAAATAATGTTACCAGGTATGCTTCATTTCCATCATTCTTACCTAGACAAATAAACCCTTTAATTGATCTTCCTTTAGTTGTAATTTCTACTCTTCAGTGTACTCTTGTCTTTTTTTTTTTTTTTTTTTTTAGTTTCTATGAATTTTAGGGTTGCCTCTTGGTTCTATCTTATAAAACCTTTTCTCGTTACTTCTTTTACCTCTGTAGTTTTGCAAGTACTTTCTCTATCTCTCTCTCTCTCTCATTTTTATTCTTATTTTTTTCTTTCACTTGGTTTTATAGGAAACTAATATAAGTTTTTAAAAAATTTCCTCCTTCAAATCATCTACTAAAATTTTTAGCTTGTTTAATGGTTAATTTCATGTGTCAACTAGGCTAGGCTATGATACTCAGCTATTTGGTCAAATATTAGTCTGGATGTTGGTGTGAAGGTATTTTTTAAAAGATGTAATTAACATTTAGATTAGCAGACTTTGAGTAAAGCTGATTAGCCTCCATAACGAGAGTGGGCCTTATTCAGTCAGTTGAAGTCATTAAGAAAAAAACGCTAAAATTTCCAGAGGAAGAAGGAATTCTACCTCCAGACTGCCTTTGCACTCAAGACTACAATGTCAGCTTTTCCCTGGGGTCTAACCTGCTGGCCTGCCCTGCAGATATTGACTTGCCAGTCCCCACAATCATGAGTCAGTTCTTTAAAATAAATCTTTCTCACTGTATATATACAGCCTATTGATTCTATTTATCTAGAGAATCTAGAGTAACAGAATTTGGTACTGAGAGCAATAGAACAGAATTTTAAGGATGAGTTTTATGAATTACTTCCCTAATCTGATAAGATGTAAAGGCATTAATGACTTTTCAGTAGTGAATAGAGTATTAATAATTCATAGTGTAATGTGACAGTAGAGATATGCAAAGTATTGCCATTAGGTAATCCTATTCAGACATTTACAAGAAGCAAGGTTCTGGGCATCTGTATTTGATACCTTAGAACATTTTTGAGTTCTCATGAGAACAATGAGATTGGCTAGTTACTCCTAATGTAGAGAAGGAAAGGATGATCTTAGGGATTAAATTTCCCAGCTCAAGTGCCGCATGAATAACCCAAAAGTTTCTCTTTCTGCCCTGAAAGAAACTCTTATATTTTATAACAACAAAGCTGAGATTATTGAAAACCAAACCCAAAATCTCATCCTGAAAATGGCTGAATTACAGTGCAAATTGAATCCCCACCCTTTTAGGGTGTCTGCTGTTAAAATGAGGGCATTAACTGAGAAGGAATGGGATCTTGAAAACTGGAGTGCAGACATATGTGAAGAGCCTTATAAAGCTGGGTGTATCGAACCCCTTGACCCTGATGAGTCTTCCTTGCCAGTAAAAGCAGCCATGCCACCCCCATCTGAGGAGATTAATGCTACTTTACCTGAGGAAACTTTTATTACCTCCCCTGAGTTTGTTGCCTTGCAAGACATTGCTGATTCTTCTCAAGACTCACAGCTACCATCCTTCATTGCTTCTAGACCTATAACTAGACTCAAGTCCCAGCAGGCCCTTAAAGGTAAGGTACAAAGTGTGACCCATGGGGAGGTATGTTACACTACAAAAGAGCTACATGATTTTTCCAATTTATACTGACAGAAATCTGGGAAATATTTGTGGGGAGGGATTTTAAGGGTGTGGGACAATGGTGGAAGGAACTTAGTGTTTGATCAGGCTGAATTTATTGAAATGGGACCACAAAGAAGAGATTCTGGACTTAATATGTGGATTAGGGAGTTAGAAAGAGCTCTTACAGTTTATTTGGTTGGTTGTATTAAATGGACCAAAAGGTGGCCCAGTCTAAATGAAGATAAAATGCCAGAACTGCCTCGATATACTATATACTGTGATCCAAAGGATTAGGGAGATTGGAATATTAGATTAGGTTTATCATTTAAGACCTGCCAACCCACCCCAGGAGGTCCAGAGGATGTACTTTTCTCATAACTGTGAGAAATATATTTGTGAGGCGAGTCCCAGAATCCTTGAAGAATACTGTGATTGTTCTTCTCTGTAGTTCAGATATTGCAGTGGAAATTGCTGCCACTGAGTTGGGAAACCTGAATGCAGTGGGTATAATTGGATCCCAGAGAGATAAGGGCCAGGTGGTGGCACTTGATAGCCAAAGGCAAGGTGAGCATGGTATGGTAATAGCAGAGTCAAAGCAGCAATCAGAACAGTCTGACCTGTAGAGACCTGTGGTGTTGATTAGTTGATCATGGTGTTCCTAGAAGTGAACTAGATGGGATGTCTACTGAATTCTTCCTTGATAGGTGTAAGCAGAAGAGTTCTAGGTCAAGTGAGCAAAATTCTAACCTGAACCATAGGAACAGAGAATCACAACCAGTCAATAACTTCCCAGACTTGAGCCGGTTTACACACAGAGAACACCTTGAATGAAAGGGAGGACCCTGGCACACTGCTAAAAATGTATACTGTTAATCTTTCAGCCTTCTCCAAAGGGATCTATAGCCTTTTGCCAGGGTGACTGTACATTTGGAAAAAGAAAATAGTCAGAACTTTCAGAAACTACTGGACACTGGCTCTGAACTGACACCAATTCCAGGAGACCCAAAACATCACTGTGGTCTACAAATCAAAGCAGGGGCTTATGGAGGTCAGATAGTCAATGGAGCTTTAGTTCAAGTTCATTTCACAGTGGACTCAGTAGGTCCCTAAAACCATCTTGTGATTATTTTCCAAGCCCTGGAATGAATAATTGGAATAAACATACTCAGAAACTGGTAGAATCCCCACATTGCTTCTCTGACCTGTGGAGTGAGGAATATTATGGCAGGAAAGGGCCAGTGGAAGCCAGTAGAACTGATTCTACCTAGGAAAATAGTAAAAAAGCAAAAGCAATACTACATTCCTGAAGAGATTGCTGATATTAATGCCTCCATCAAGGACTTTAAGGATGAAGTGATGTTGATATCTATCACATCCCATTCAACTCACCTATTTGACCTACACAAAAAAGAGATGGAATTTGGAGAATGACAGTGGATTATTGTAAGCTTCCTCAGATGGTGACTCTAGTTGCAGCTGCTATACCAGATATAGTTTCATTGCCTTAGAAAATCAGCACATCTCTTCATACCTGCTATGTAGCTATTGATCTGGGAAATGCTTTTTTCTCTATACCTATTAATCAAGAACACCAAAAGTAGTTTACTTTCAGCTGGCAGGGCCAACAATACACCCTCACTGTCCTACCTCAGGGGTGTATTAACTCTTCAGCCCTATGTTGTAATTTAGTTCTCAGGGATCTCAATCACCTTTCCCTTCCACAGGATATTACAGAGGTTTATTACATTGATGGCATTGTGCTGATTGGATCTAGTGAACAAGAAGCAGCAAATGCTTTAGTCTTATTTGTCTGTCAGAGGGTAGGAGATATATCCAACAAAAATTCAGTGGCCTTCTACTTCAGTGAAATTTCTAGAGGTCCAGTGTTGTGGGACATGTGGAGATAATCATAAGGTGAAGGATAAATTGTATCTGGCTCTTCCTACAAGCAAAAAAGAGGCACAATGGCTAGTGAACCAGGGCGTTTTGGAGGAAACATTCCTTATTTTGATGTGCTACTCTGGTCCATTTACTAAGTGATGTGAAAAGCTGCTAGTTTTGAGTGGGGCCCAAAACAAGAGAAGGCTCTGAAACAGGATCAGTCTGCCATGCAAGCCTCTCTGCCACGTGGGCTGTATGATCTAGCAGATCCAGTGGTGCTTGAAGTGTCATTGGCAGATAAGGGTGCTGTTTGGACCTTTGGCAGACCCCTTTAGATGAATCACAGTGCAGGCACGTAGGATTTTAGAGCAAATTCCTGCCACCCTCTCTGGACTCTCTTTTTGAGAAACAGCTTTTGGCCTGCTACTGGGCCTTGGTAGAGACTGCTTCATAGAGAACTAAGTAGAGAATGCTTAACTATGGGCCACCAAGCCATAAAGTTGGGCATACACAGCAGCACTCCACCATCAAATGAAAGTGGTAGATACAACATTGGGCTTGAGCAGATCCTGAAGGCACAAATAAGTTACACGAAGAAGCTGCCCAAATGCTCACTGTTCCCACCCCTGCTACATTACCTGCTCTCTTCAGCCAGCACCTGTTGTCTCATGAGGAGTTGCCTATGATCAGCTGACAGAAGAAGAGAAGACTTGGACCTGGTCTACAGAAGGTTCTGCGTGATATAAAGGTACCAGCCAGAAGAGGACAGCTATAGCACTACAGCCCCTTTTTTGAGACATCTCTGAAGGACAGTGGTGAAGAGAAATAACTCCCAGTGGGCAGAACATTGGGTAGTGCACTTGGTGCTTTTTGTTTTTTTGTTTTTTGCTTGGAGAAATGGCCAGACGTATAAATGTGTACTGATTCATGGGCTATGTTTAATGGCTTAGCTGGATGGTCAGGGAATTTTAAGGAACATGGTTGGAAAAATTGGTGACAATAAGGTCTGGGGAAGAGGCACGTGAATAGATCTTGCTAGATAGGCACAAACACAAAGATATTTGTATCCCATGTGAATGCTCACCAAAGGTTGATCTCAGCAGGGGCAGACTTTAATAATCAGGTGAATAGAGTGACATGCTCTATGAATATCAGCTAGACTATACCCCCAGTCACCCCTGTCATTGTGTCATTGCCCATAGGTCTCATGAACAAAGTGGCCATAATGGCAGGGATGGAGGTTATGTATGAGCTCAGCAACATGGACTTCCACTCACCAAGGCTGACCTGGCTACAGCTGCTACTGAGTGTCCAATCTGCCAGCAACAGAGACCAACATTGAGTACCTGATGGGCACTATTCCATGGGATGATCAGCCAGCTAGCTGATGGCAGGTTGATTACACTGGGACCACTTCCATAATGCATGGAGCAGTGCTTTTTTCTTACTAGAATAGACAGTAACTCTGGGTATGGATTTGCCTTCCCTGCACACAGTGCTCCCACCAATTTACCATCTGTGGACCTACAGAATGCCTTATCCACCATCATGGTATTCCATACAGCATTGCTGTAATCAAAGAACTCACTTTGTGGCAAATACCTTGTGGCAATGGCCTCATTGCCACTATGTTACCATATTCCTTATCCTCTCAAAGCGGCTGGCTTGACAGAATGGATGAATGGCCTTTTGAAGACTCAATTACAGTGAAAGCTAGGTGGCAGTACCTTGCAGGGCTGGGGTAATGTTCTTCAGGAGATTATACATGCCCCATGTCAGCATCCAATATATGATGCTGTTTCTACCATAGCCAAGATTCAAGAATCAAGGGGTGGAAATGGGAGTGGCACCAGTTGCCATTACCCCTAGTCATCCATTAGCATAATTTTTGCTTCCTGTTCCTGTTCCTGTGGCCTTATGCTCTGCTGGTCTAGGGGTCTTAGTGGCTCTCTTCATTAATGTTGTCTGACACTTAGGCCTTTCTGTCTGCAAACTTGAGTCTTCCTTGATGGACAACAGAGCATGGAATTATTTTTGGACCAGAGTCTAGATTTACCTAGTCTGTGGAGTCTAGAAGATTGCTGCGTAATATGGAACAAGTTACTTTGTACAGATTCTTTATTTGAAAAGTATGAATATAATAGCACCTCCCTCAAAGGTTTGTTTTGGAGTTGACAAGGTGATACATGTAGCGTATCATGCTGCTTGAACCTGGTATGCATGTTTCACTGCATTCTGTTAGTACTCCTGCTTCTGTTTAGGGAGCTTTCCTATGATCACTTGAATTATTTCTTTTCTGCAGTGAATTCCACAGTTTGCTTCTGAAATTCGTTTTTTACATTCCCCTTGTATGCACTGTGTCTTTTACCATTTTAATCATTATTGTAGGTTTTTTTAATCTTTTTTTTCTGAGTTCTGGGAAAATTTTTTAAGCTGATTTTCTAAACATAAATTTGTTTTTCTGTTCAATTCCTGCTTTAGGAGTTTGAGTTGAATGATTGTGACTTTTATATGAAATCAAGCTTTTATTATTTTAGATTATTTAATTTTCACATATTTAATCTCATTTCAAAATTTAAAAAATGCTTTTTTTACTATGAAGTAATTTATATGGTTTAGATACTGTAATAACTACTGCTAACATTGTGATGAACACTTGCCAGGCTTATTATTATTATATGACATATATCATCATATATCTACATAAATATGATGAAAGATCTCCATACAAAGCCATTGTTATCACCTTTATAATTTAGTAATATAACATATTTGTTAGTAAACATAGGTATAAAGTATTGTTTTAAATAATGCTCTCTTGAATTTTATTTAATATACAAATAGGAGTTTTTAAGGTGTTATCTTCTTTTATAGAAAGGAGAATATTTGTTGTGATTTTTTAGAATGGTCTCCCTTTTTGAAATACCGGGTATCTTTATATATCTAGCGTTTTTTTTTTTTTTTTTTTTTTTGAGATGGAGTCTCACTCATTCTGTCACCCAGGCTGAAGTACAGTGGCACGGTCTCAGATCACTGCAGCCTCCGCCTCCCTGGTTCAAGCGATTCTCCTGCCTCAGTCTCCTGAGTAACTGGGATTATAGATGTGAGCCACCGCACCTGGCTGTTTTTTTCTGTTCATTCATATTTACAAGGGAAAGTTTCTGTGTGCTATGTTAAAATTTGAGAAGAGTTCTGCCAGATATTATATAAATGCCTGTTCAGGTCTTGTCAGCATATTTACTAGATAAGTGGTCCATGTGATTCTGAGTAGTAAGGAGAGGTTATTGGTGAGAGAGCTGCATGGCAGAGAAGGGCCTCCTTTGCTGTGTGTGTTTCTGCTCTCAGTGTGGGGATGGTGGTGGAACCAGAGCTTCAGATGTCTGTATCAGGTGAAGAAGGAACTCCTGGAGCAGTGAAGGTTAGTAGGCCAAATAGCTGGTTTTCCCTCTCGTATTTGTTATAACAGTCCATGTTAGATGAGTCCCATATTACTTGGAGCAATTCCCCTTGGTAGCATCCTTTTGCCACAATATCTTTGCTTTGAATAACATGTCCTATCACCAGATGAAGGCTGAGAATGGACATAAAATATGGCTGTCTAGTTTGGGGACAGTGGTGGAATTCCATTAATCCTAGAATTTGTCTGCAGTCAACTATCAGATTTTTTTTTTCCCCTGGCTCCTGCTGCTCTGGGTTTGCAGGTTTCAGATTTGCAGGATAATATCACTCATTTACTCCCACAAAGAGTTTCTCCTCTGTTGTGTTCAGTTGCAAACTATAGGATACTTCCCTTGACTTAACCTTGCCCATGCCACTTCTAGCAGAAATTTCCAAAAGTACCTGGATGCTAATGATATCATTCTGCATTTATTAAAAACTGATTTGAAAAATAAACATCCCATAATTGTATATTTCTTCGGTCATGCCAATAGTTTTCAGGGAGGAAATAATTTAAACTCATGGACTCAACCATTTTGAAAAGAAACTCCTAGGCCATCTTCTCTATTGGTCAAAGAGATATATGGATTTACATGTGTGAAATCCTTTCGTGAAGTCTGGGTGTGATGTATCTCCCACCTTTATCTACCAGATGTTTCTGTTTCTGTAATAGATGATTCAACACACGTTCCTCTTGGAAAAAGCAAGGACTACATCAATGCTAGTTATATTAGAATAGTCAATTGTGGAGAAGAGTATTTTTATATCGCTACTCAAGGACCACTGCTGAGCACCATAGATGACTTTTGGCAAATGGTGTTGGAAAATAATTCGAATGTTATTGCCATGATAACCAGAGAGATAGAAGGTGGAATTATCAAATGCTACCATTACTGGCCCATTTCTCTGAAGAAGCCATTGGAATTGAAACACTTCCGTGTATTCCTGGAGAACTACCAGATACTTCAATATTTCATCATTCGAATGTTTCAAGTTGTGGAGAAGTCCGTAAGTTTTTAAACATCAGTATTAGATATATGTTTCACCACATAAGCAGATGTCTTAGAACTAGAAGTTAGGAGTAGGATGGAAAATCGATCGATGATACTTCTTAAGTAACTTTTTACTTGTCCCTGGTACCAGAAGCCACCACCACTTCTACTTCTCCTCAACCAGATTCTGTGGAGAAGAAAAAATTGGAAAAGAGAGGTGGGGCAGGGAGAGTGACTGTTGAAGTTGTCTGATTCTGGGTTATACCTGCCTCTGCCAAATGTAGCAGATACGTATTGAGTCCTTAAAGTATGCTAATCACTGGGCCAGGCACTATCAGTACTTACCGAATAGTGGAGAGGTTGGTTACACTCACTGATAGATACCTAACTTACCGTGTTCAGTGATAATGTTGAGATATGTCTTGGGCACTTTGGGGCTCAGAAGGTAAACACTTGGCTTTACTTGGGGTTTTGAGACAGGTTTACTGGAGGAGGTGGCATTTGTTTTGAGAATTATGCAAATGAAAAAGATGGAGGGAGAAAGTAGATGATCAAAATATAAAATAGCATAAGGTGTGTGTAGAGACAAATATAAGTAGTTAAGTGTTTCTGAAATGTAAAAGTTCAGTGCCAGGGAGTAATAAAAGATGAGATGATGTTCTCAAAAGTAAGCAGGGGCCAGCTAGAATGTGAAATGTCTTAAATTTCAGCTAAGTAGCATGAACTTTATTATGAAGATAATTGGGAGACATTGAAGAATTTTAGTAAGTGACATGATCAACTACGGCTGTTGGCATGGGGGTGGAAAGCACAGACGCAAGTGTTTTGCAGATAAAATTGGGAGACATACGTGACTTATGACTTATGATTTATAAGTGACAGAGGAGGGGTTGAAAATATATTCAATACAGTAACCACATGTGGATATTTAAGTTTAAATTTAAGTTATTTAAATTTATGTAAAATAACAAATTGAGTTCCTCACCTGCAAGTAGCCACATTTTAGGGCTTATGAGTGGCATGTTGATAGTGGCTACTATATTGCCACTATTTAAGACATTTGCTTCAGTATAGGAAGTTCTGTTGAGAAGCATTGGTCTAGAATAATTCATGGATTCCTTGGTCTAATAGACTTAGAAAACAGAAAAGGAATGGTTTATAGGAGAAAGCAATGAGTTAGATTGCTCTAGTGGATTCAGTTGGCAGGTAGGTGATACATGTGTTAACACGAGTGAAGGGAATAGGAGTTGAACAGGAAACTTGCAGAGAATGGTGAGTTTTGGAGTCATCACCAAAGAAGTTGATTGGAGCACAATCACCAGGAAAAGGGTTGCTGAGTGATGCTGAGGTTTGACCCATACATTTGTAGTAGCAACAAAATATGTGATTATGTGTATTTTTCTAGCAGTATAACATTGAGATCCCTGAATACAGGTTATGGGACTGATCCAGAGAGAGAGATTAATTTTAAGGAGTTGGTTCAAGTGATTGTGGAGGGTTGGCAAATCTGCAGGGTGGGAAAGTAGGCTGAAGACCCAGGGAAGAATTGGAGTTTGAGTCCAAAAGCAATCTGCTGGTAGAATTCCTTCTTGCTCATGGGAGGTCAGTTTTTGTTCTCTTAAGGCCTTCAGCTGATTAGATGAAGCCAACCCACTTTATGGAGAATAACCTGCTTTACTCAAATTCTACCAATTTAAATGTTAATCTCACCTAAAAAATACCTTCACAGAGGCACAAAATAATATTTGGCCTAGTATCTGGATACCAGGGCTCAGCCAAGTTGACAGATAAAATTAACTATCACAAATTTCAGTCGACACTGTGGATTAGAATAGAGCTCTGAGCACTAGCATCTTTATTCAGGAAGCTTAGGAAAAAGAGGTGCATTCGGGAGAAGCATAGGAGAAGTGAGAAACTCATTTTGAGTTCTTCCATTAGGGTCCCATGTGTGATAAAATAAGGGCCCCACACTGAGGAAAGGGTCATGATCCCTTTGGATGAGATATAGGTAAATTCAAAGTGCTTTATCTGACAATGCTGGGAAGAGTTTCATGACTCCACTTCAAGGGGGCTCAGCACAATAGTGGGACCCACAATCTACTCTCATGGTCATTGACTACCCTGTCTTCATCGCTGGAAGAGATCGGTGCCTCTCTTGTCAGACACCTATATGTCTTAATTAAATTTCATATGTCATTTCTAAACTAAGATACTTTGCCTTTTGGTCTTATTCCTAACATGACAGTCCATCTCTCACTCTAAGCATTTTGAAATCTTGGTTTTCCTGTAGCCTCATGGTACAGAAGAATGATGGTAGATTAGAATTCAAGACACCTACATTACAGTTCCAGCTCTAAACGTGTGAACCTTCTGACCTAGCATACATCTCTCGTCCCCCTCATCCTTAAATTTTCATCTGTAAAATGGAGATAAAATGGTGCCTATCTCACATGGTTGATGTGAAGATTAAAGGAGAGAATTCATGTGAAGCCCCTAGCATAGTAACTGCCACATAGCAAGTGCTTAATTTTTGTTACCTGTTAATACTGGTATTTTTATTGTTGTTACTGTGCTCTCCTTTGTAAAATGGAGAAAACCTCTATTCCTAGCAACTTCCAGAATTCTTATAAACATCAAAAAGAGGTTTGAGTACTTTTTGAAAGTTCTATATAATACCAAGGTAATACCATATAGCCATTATTATTATCATTTGAATATTAGAAGTTGGCGTGAGGTCTCTAATATAAGAAATCAATAAATGTCTTTCTCGCTCTGTTTCTTTCTCTAACAGACGGGAACTAGTCACTCTGTAAAACAGTTGCAGTTCACCAAGTGGCCAGACCATGGCACTCCTGCCTCAGCAGATAGCTTCATAAAATATATTCGTTATGCAAGGAAGAGCCACCTTACAGGACCCATGGTTGTTCACTGCAGTGCCGGCATAGGCCGGACAGGGGTGTTCCTATGTGTGGATGTCGTGTTCTGTGCCATCGTAAAGAACTGTTCAGTAAGTGTGTGAATCAAGCAGATACACTGATGCTGTTGGTGTTTACACACTACATTTAATAGCCTGATCATTTGGAAGACTAATATTTGGTCTTCAAAAGCAACTTAGTAAATCAAAAGCACATGAGCTTTGGATACCTGATTCTCACCGAACTTGCTGCAGGTTCCTGGGGGTGTTTGTGAGGATTAAAGTATGTATTGTAAATAATGGCTTAGGACAGTGTCTGGAACATAATAGATACACAGAAAATGTGAGTTCCATTTCCTTTTCCTTCCCTGTATCTTACACGGGGTGTTTAGACTCTTACTAGAGAATGTTGATGGAATGTGCCTGTTTTTAATGAATATAAGTGACAAGCACATAAGAATGTGAGAAAAAATGTAGACTTCTGAGTTAATGAGGGGTCCCTGTTTGACTGCCTGTTTTGCCACATACTTTAGATTTTGGTGACTTTGGGTAAATTGCTCATCCTCTCTCAAATCTAGTTTTCTCATTTGCAAAATAAACATAGTAATATAATTGAGTTTGAGTCAATAATTCACAATCCTTTACTTTTGTTTTTAATTTGGAACCAGCTAAGAGATAGACACAGGAATCAGATGTGATGATTACAATATTTCCTTTATGATTATTTTTATTCTCAAGTTTTATCTGTTAAAATGATTCCATCTATGTTGTTTTTCCTTTTATTTTTAGTTGACATGTAATAATTGTACATATTTGTGGGGTACAGAGAGTGATATTTAGATATATGTATACAATGTGTAGTGATCAGATCAAGGTAGTTAACATATGCATCACCTCAAACATTTGTCATTTCTTTGTGTTGTGAACATCAAAAATCTTCTCTCCTAGCTCTTTAAATATATACAATAAATTATAATTAACCATATTTGCCCTACAGTGATGCAGAACACCAGAGCTCATTCCTCCTATCTAGCTTAATTTTGTATTTGTTAGCCAACCTTTCCTTATCATCTTTAATACCCACAGTTCTACTCTTGACTTCCATGAGTTTGATTTTTTAGCTCTCATATATAAATGAGAACATGCAGTATTTATCTTTCTGTGCCTGCCTTGTTTTGCTTAATGCAATGTTCTCCAGACTTGTCCATATTGCTGTGAATGACAGGATGTCACTCTTTTTTTATGGCTGCATAGTATTCCATTTTCCAATTCATTAGCATAGGATTATTTCCATTTGTTTCTGTCCTCTTCATTTCTTTCATCAGTGTTTTATAGTTTTCCTCATAGAAGTCTTTTACTTTTTTGGTTAAATTTATCCTAGGTGTTTTTTTTTTTAATAGCTATTGTAAATAAGATCACCTTCTTTATTTCCTTTCAGCTAGTTTGTTATTGGAGTCTAGAAATATCACTGATTTTTGTATGTCGACTTTGTATCCTGCAACTGTACTGAATTAGTTTATTAGTTCTTAGAGTGTTTTGGTAGAGTCATTAGTTTTGGGGGATATATATATATATACATATATATATGAATATATGAATATATAGTCATGTTACATGCAAAGAAGGACAATTTAATTTCCTTTTTTTCCAATTTGGATGCCCCTTATTTCTTTCTCTTGACTAATTGCAATGGCTAGGACATCCAACATTATACTGAATAAGAGTGGTAAAAGTGGGCATTCTTGACCTGTTTTCCAGTTCTTAGAAGAAAGGCTTTGAGCTTTTCCCCATTCAGTATGATCTTAGCTGTGTGTTTGTCATATATCGTCTTTATTGTGTTTAGATATGTTCCTTCTATGCCTCATTTGTTTAGAGTTTTTTTTTTTATCATGAAAGCATGTTGAATTTTATCAAATGCTTCTTCCACATCTATTAAGATTCTCATATGGTTTTTGTCATTCATTCTGTTGATATATCACATTTATTGATTTGCATATGTCAAATTATACTTGCATTCTGGGGATAAATCCCACTTGGTCATAGTGCATTATCTTTTTGATGTGTTGTTACATTTGTTTTGCTAGTATTTTGTTGAGGATTTTTTTTTTTTTTTGCCTCTATGTTCATCGGGGATATTGGCTTGAACTTTTTTTTCATTGTGTCTCTGTCAGATTTTGGTATCAAGTTGATAATGGCTTCATAGAATGAGTTAGAGAGGAGTCCCTCCTCCTTGAATTTTTTGGAATGGTTTCAGTAGGATTGGTAGCAGTTCTTCTTTGTACATGTGGTAGACTTTAGCTGTGAATCCGTCTGGTCCAGGGCTTTTTTTGGTTGGTAGGATTTTTATTACTGATTCACTTTTGGAATTCATTATTGGTCTGTTCAGGTTTTCTTGAACAGGAATTTCTTCCTGGTTGAATCTTGGGAGTTTTCAGGAATTTACTCATTTCCTCTAGATTTTCTATTTTTCGTGTGCATAGATATTTATAATAATCTCTGAAGATCTTTTATATTTCTGTGGGATTAGTTGTAATGTCATCTTTGTCATTTCTGATTGGGCTTAGATTTTCCTTTTTTTGTTGTTTAGCTAGCAGTCTATCAATTTTGTTTATTCTTTCAAAAAACAGACCAGGCGCGGTGGCTCATGCCTGTGATCCCAGCACTTTGGGAGGCCGAGGCGGGTGGATCACCTGAGGTCAGGAGTTCGAGACCAGCCTGATCAATATGGCGAAACCCCATCTCTACTAAAAATACAAAAATTAGCCAGGTGTGATGGCATGCACCTGCAGTCCCAGCTACTTGGGAAGCTGAGACAGGAGAATTGCTTGAACCCAAGAGGCAGAGGTTGCAGTGAGCTGAGATTGTGTCACTGCACTCCAGCCTGGGAGACAGAGCGAGACTCCATCTCAAAAAAAAAAAATTGTTTGTTGATCTTTCGTATGCATTTTTCCATCTTAATTTCATTCAGTTCTGCTCTGATTTTGGTTATTTGTTTTCTTCTGCTAGTTTGGGATTGATTCGTTCTTTTTTTCTAGTTTCTCTAGGTGAGACATCAGGTTGTTCATTTAAGATCTTCCTAACTTCTTTGATGTAGGCATTTAGCACTATAAACTATACTCTTAGCACTGCTTTAGCTGCATCCCAAAGATTTTGATTTGTTTTGTCTCTGTTTTCATTAATTTCAAAGAATTTTTTTGATTTCTGAATTCATTTGTTTACCCAAAAGTCATTTAGGAGCAAGTTGTTTAATTTCCAAGTAATTGTGTAGTTTTGGGAGATCTTCTTGGTAGTAATTTCTGTTTTTATTGTACTGTGGTCTGAGAGTATGCTTGAGATGATTTCAGTGTTTTTAATCTTTTTCAGATTTGCTTTATGGCTGAGCATATAGTCGATCTTAGAGTATATTCCATGTGCAGATAAGAAGACTGTATATCCTATGGTTTTGGAGTGGACTAGTCTGTAGATATTTATTGAGTCCAATTGGTCAAGTGTTGAATTTAAGACCAGAATTTCTTTATTAATTAATTTTTCGCTTTGATGATCTCTCTAATCCTGCCAGTTGGGTGTTGAAGGCTCCCAATATTATTGTGTGACTAAGTCTTTTCATAGGTCCAGAAGAACTTGTTTTATGAATCCGGGTGCTCCAATGTTAGCTGTGTGTATATTTAAGATAGTTAACTCTTCTTTTTGAATTTTTCCCTTTGTCACTGTGTAATGCCCTACTTTGTCCTTTTAGATCATTGTTGGTTTAAAGTCTGTTTTATCTGATATAAGAATAGTGACCCCTGCTTTCGTTTTGTTTTCCATTTGCATGATAGATCTTTCTCCATCCCTTTACTTTGAGCCTGTGGGTGTTCTTACATGTGAGATGGGTCTCTTGAAGACAGAATATGGTTGGGCCTTATTTTTTTAATCCATTTTGCCATCCTAAGCCTTTTAAGTTGGGTATTTAGACCATTTGCCTTCAAGGTTTATATCAATATGTGAGATTTTGATGCTGTCATCACATTGTTGGCTGGTTGCTTTGTAGATTTGATTGTGTATCTCCTTTATGGTGTCTGTGGGCCATGTACTTGTGTTTTTGTGGTGCCAGGTACTGTTCTTTCATTTCCACATTTAGCACTTCCTTAAGGACTTCTTGTAAGACTGGTCTAGTGCTCATGAATTTCCTTAGCTTTGATTGTCTGAAAAGGATTTTATTTCTCCTTTGCTTATGAAGCTTTCTTTGGAAGAATATCAAATTATTGTTTGGAGTTTATTTTATTTAATAATGCTGAAAATAGGTCCACAGTTTCTTCTCACTTGTAAGTTTCTGCTGAGAGGTCTACTCCTAGCCTGATGGGATTTCCTTTGTAAGTAAGCTGACCTTTCTCTCTAGCTGCGGTAAATAGCCACTATGGAGACTAAGGACCAGAAGAAACACAGAAAGAAAAACAGTGGACCCAAAGCTGCAAAGAAAAAGAAGTGGCATCTGCAGGATCTCCAGCTAGGAGACGAAGAAAATGCCCAGAAGAGAAATGCCAATGCTTTTGCAGTTCAGTCTGCTGTGTGGATGTCTCGATCCTTTCACAGGTGTGTTTAGCTACAGTCTGATGGTTCTTCCATTGAATCTTTTTAAATAGTTAGGAGCCTCTCACAGGTGACATTTGGATTCACAAGTCTAGTCCAGCTCCAAAGGACGTGGAGATGCATGCTGTGTGACTTTTACTAAAACGTGAGAAGACTTGCCATAGAAGCTGCCTTGCCTCCAGCATCTGCACACTGGTTGGTGTTTCTTGCCCAAGATACAAGAATTTATAGAATTTGATTCTTCCTAAACTTTAAACTGTTTCTATGGTGATAAGTGTGCTTTTTCCCTCTGGATATGTTTTACAAAGTTGTAATATAAAATACAAAAATTACAATATGTAATACTAACATAGCTTTATTTAGTGAGTCCTTATGATATTCTTAGCAGTGTACTTTAAACGTTATTCAACTAAATCCTTCCAGCAGCCTTACCAGAGTAGGAATCATTCTTGCCCTCATTTTATGGACAAGAAAACTGAGGTCAAGAAAACAAGTTACCTCCAATCATACAACCAGTAAGTCGGAGAGCCAAATTTAACTCCAGAACCTCTGCTCTTATCTGTTATGATGCGCTGCCTCAGTATTTACCTTTTGTTTTTTAAAAAACTATAAAAATCACTCATAAAACAGTCAGATTTAAGGAGTGTTTAATTTTCAACTCTATACTATTGAAGTCATCTTGTTACATCTTTATTGAACAGCAATTGATTTGGATAGGGGTCAGAAGTTAATAATTGACAAGTTACTTATATTTTTATATTGTCTGTTGTACTCTCTATAAAATATACTAAAGTACTCATATCTGTAATTATACTAAAAAAAAGTCTACTTATAAGGTTGATACCTTTTACTCTATTTTAAAAGTGAGTTTACTTTTTTTTTCTTTTTTAAATAAATAGGACTCTGGATTTGAAGACACAAAAGCATCATATTCCAGTGGTTGATGGAACTCCACTAGAGCTGCCACCAATACCGGTAGTGGTGACGGGGCCTCCAAAGTTGGAAAGAGCACTTTGATATAATGCCTCATTCGGAACTTCACCTGGCAGAAGTTCACCGAGATCAGAGGCCCTGTGACGATCGTGTCAGGTAGGAGATGGTGCCACAGACACAGACTTGGCGTGGCTGTTGTCATCTGAGGGACATGCGTGTGTTTGTTGTTTTCTTGAGTGGAACATGTTAAATATTGTCATATCATGTTACCTCTCTCTTACTTTTACTAAGTTAGCTATAACTTCATAAAAGGATAAGTTCCCAGAGATAAGGATGTGATACATACCTTATCCTGACTGCTCTATGGCTTTGCCAAGCATGTTCCTTGGAAGGGCCTGACAGGCCTGGTCACTGCGAACACACCATTTAACAGACAGCACGTACCTCCTATGTGCCAGGTGCACATGCTTGCCCTTATGAAGCCACATGCTGGTGGAAGTGCGCGTTTTCTCTTTTTCCTATGAGAATTTGTCTGCTTTGGGAGATGGTGACCTTTCCAAGTTTGAGGGAAGATGAAACAAACATCCAGTGGTAGAATGGCAATGTACACTCTGAAATCTCTTATTATTGCAGTAATATAGTTGGATTGAGGCTTTTCTTTATCTTTGGCGCATCCATATTTTATTTTCCTTTTTTTGAGACAGAGTCTTGCTCTGTGGCACAGGCTGGAATGCAGTGGTGTGATTACAGCTCACTGCAGCCTTAACCTCCCAGGCTCAAGCAATCCTCCTACCTTAGCCTCCTGTGAGTAGTGTATGCCACCATGCCTGGCTAATTTTTCTTTTTTTTCCTTTTTTTAAATTTTTATGTTTTTGTAGAGATGGGATTTCCCCATGTGGCCCAGGCTGGTCTCAAAACTCCTGGGCTCAAGGGATCCACCTGCCCTGGTCTCCCAAGGTGCCAGGACTACAGGCATGAGCCACTGTGCCCAGCCAATATTTTCTTGATCATTTTCTTATTACCTTAATTTAGAAATAATTATCATTGTAAATATTCTGTTGCATTATGTTTGAGGATGTTTTTAGCGATAGTGGGAATACAGGAAATTTTGATAGAGGTGAAGACATTGGCCTGCAGCTGAACAGCAAGATCATGGTTATCGTGGAGCCTGTCTAGTCAGAATTTTCCCTGTTTTCAGCACTTTTATTCATCTGGGTAGGCTTTTGATATTATCTAAATTTAGAACACAGGAAGAAAAACAGGATGGAATTTATTTTACCAGTTTTTGCCTATAAAAATGAACTTCTGGTACACTCCTGTAAACGTATGTGGTGTTTTACTGGATGCAGTTAAAAAATGAAAATTAAGAGTTGATGGTTAGAGTTTTTTCAGGGTCTTTTTAAAGTAAAATTTTCATCTTTTCACTTATAGGTAAAAAGCGCAGACTCACCATTATTGAATGTGGGTGTGACATTAACATGATGATTGATCTGGCTGAAGTAGCAGATCTGGTAAGTGAGCAGGGGCAGCCTGGGGTGCTGATGGAGACTTACAGCATTGTGATAGGTTATTTACCCCGTGATGAAGGGAAGAGAGTTTTGTGATTATTAAAAGGATCATGGTCATTATCAGGGATATAGTAGATGTGATTGAATTGATGATGATAATAATAATAGTAATAAATGTTGTCATATTAATAATACAAATGGAATGTGCACAATGAAATGTGTTCCAAAATCTAAAAGCAGATCACAGGATGGAGAAAACCTTTAATGAACACAGCTAATAAGAGCTCATTAACATTCATACATATATATGTACAAATATATCATAGTAAGTACCATTTCTTCTTGGATCCTTCCTGGATCCAAATTTAGCTTACATAAACCCTTGATACACCCTTGAGGTGAGTAGGTATTATCTATAGTTTACATAAGATGAAATAGAGCCTCCCAGCAGTTAAGTAACTTGTGTGAAGATGGGACCCTTGTTCCTGATGGTTCTAGAACCTTCATCCTTAATGATAATGCTAAAGTAAGTACATGAATTGCCTGAAGAAGTGGTCAGAGTTTATCAATAGAAAATTTAGATAGTACTCAGCGTGTGGAAAATGTACATTTATGGAAATGATAATGTTCACTATCTCTGATATTCTATGATCTTTTACATTAGCAAAAAAAAAAAAAAAAAAAAAAAAGGCCAGACACAGTGGCTCATGCCTGTAATCCCAGCACTTTGGGAGACCGAAGTGGGTGAATCACCTGAGGTCGGGAGTTCGAGACCAGCCTGACCAACATGCAAAAACCCCGTCTCTACTAAAAATACAAAATTAGACGGGTGAGGTGGTGCATGCCTGTAATCCCAGTTACTTAGGAGGCTGAGGCAGGAGAATCGCTTCAACCCAGGAGATGGAGGTTGCGGTGAGGCGAGATCGTGCCATTGCACTCTAGCCTGGGCAACAAGAGTGAAATTCTGTCTCAAAAAAAAAAAAAAAAATTAGCAAAAAAATAAGCCATATTGATTAGGAGGTGTAGGGTGACAGATACCTTGTTTTTTTCATTTTTATTTAGTTTTTGCTAGAGCTACAGATTTTATACTTTGGCCTAGGAAGACTCCTAAAATATAAAGGAAAAAGTAATACAGATTTTAAAGTTGTGCCATTGTAATGTCAGAAAACTAAATAACATTCAAATTTTGAACATGTAATGCTACTATTAGTAAAAATAAGTGTAATTAATGTAAAGTTGTGTAAAGATTACTAAACTTGTATACTTGAAATGATTGAATAGTTCATAGAAGTCATTTGTTTCTCTTTTATTTAAAATGTAGCAAGTTTCTAATTTTAAACACATACATATTAAGAGATGCATTTACATTTTTTTATTTTTAGTTATTATGGATACATAATAGTTGTACATATTTATGGGGTACATGTAGTATTTTGATAGAAGCATACAATGTGTGATGATCAAATCAGGGTAATTCAGAGATCCGTCACTTCAAACATTTATCATTTGTTTGTGTTAGGAACATTTTAATTTCATTCTTTTAGTTATTCTGAATTATATAATAAATTATAGTCACCCTATTGTGCTGTTGGACACTAGAATTTATTCTATCTAACTGTGTTTTTGTACCTGTTAACCTTTCCCTCTTTGTCCCTCCCTCCCTGCTCCCCTTCCCAGCCTCTTAACCATCATTGAGAGAGATGCCTATGTAAATCTTAAGATTTTCAAAAGGAGCACACACATTTGGTAAAGCACTCTAACTGTAATGCACGGTACACACAATGCGCATTTTCTCTTTCCTTGCTGTAACCTCTGGTCTCTCAGGTCCCTGCAGACCTTTATATATATGTATATCCTTCCAGATACATATAAACACACATGCCACCCTTTAAAAACACAAACGGTAGCTTATTTTATACACTGTTCTATGCTTTGCTCTTTTCATGTAATATACTTGAAGGTATATAATCAGTAAGTACTGTAGCTCTGCCTCCTTCTTTTTAATATAACATTCCATTCTGTGGATGCACCATAATTTATTTAGTCTAGCTTATGTTGATTGCTCTGCTCTGGGTTGTCAAAGCCTCCTGAGTACAGCAGAGGCACACACAGTACGTGGATTTGGGTGTGTACGTGCGTGTGTGGATTAGGGGAGTGACACTGGCTTAGATGGCAAAGATTGGCAGCTGAGGGACTGTTTGCTCCCTTTTATTCCTGACCCTACAACCAGCTGCTTGTCCCTTGGCACTCTGGCATCAGATGTGGTGTGAGGATATTCCACCTGTTCTTTGAGCTGGTCCAGTGTTGCTGGAGAGCTCTGCTTGCTGCCTTGGTCTGCAGTGGCAGCTGTGCTTTCCTACAAGCCCAACTTCATATATTCTGTGGTTTTGGGTTTTGAATGTTTCCTAGTTTAATCAAGGATGGGCATTTCTGTTTCCATTTTGTGTTATTTTTAGTTATCCATGGAAAGATAAAAACAGAACTATCTTTAGTATTAAAATTACAAGTTTCCAGGAATCAGTTCTGAAATTATTTTGCATCTTTGAAGTGTCTTAAATTTTAAAAATTGGTCTTGGCCAGGTGCGGTGGCTCACGCCTGTAATCCCAGCACTTCGGAGGCCAAGGCAGGCAGATCACGGGGTCAGGAGATCGAGACCATCCTGGTGAACACTGTGAAACCCTGTCTCTACTAAAAAAATACAAAAAAAATAGCCGGGCGTGGTGGTGGGCGCCTGTAGTCCCAGCTACTCAGGAGGCTGAGGCAGAAGAATGGCATGAATCCGGGGGGCGGAGCTTGCGCTGAGCCGAGATCTAGCCACTGCACTCCAGCCTGGGCAACAGAGCGAGACTCTGTCTCAAAAAAGAAAAAAAAAATTGGTCTTATCTGCTTATATTTTCTTATAGACTACCATTCATCATAATCTTTCTGTTTTTTTACTTAATTCTAAACTGGTAGCTATTTCAAATATTTCTGAGCAATTGAGTTACACAAATTAACATACAAGATAGAGGTTTCCATTGCATACTTCCCAGCAAAAA
Organism: Homo sapiens; assembly: GCF_000001405.40. Taxonomy (NCBI): domain Eukaryota; kingdom Metazoa; phylum Chordata; class Mammalia; order Primates; family Hominidae; genus Homo; species Homo sapiens. Next base: position 48,054,349 of record NC_000010.11, on the reverse strand, counting down.
AAACAGATTTTTTTTTTTTTTCTGTGAGGAGATTGAAAGAAGAGGTTGGTTTTCTGTACATATTTAATATATTTCATTGATTATCACTTTCTTCCCATTCTTTGGATGTCAGAGACCTGTTATTTGGCTTAAAAATACATTACAGAAAACTTCATTTCTTTAAATTAGGATTTCTTAGGTAAGGGCCAGGTTAGACCCAGCCTTTTCTGAGTTACTTCTCATGCATTAGAATTCTTAAAATGGATGTTTATATCCTAGTGGCCTTGTCTTATGGTTGCCTTTTAGAGCAAGTCAGAGGGTGGTGGTTTCTCTGTCTGGGTGATGCCTGTGTAGTCATTTGATTTAGTCTGGAGTGGGACTTTTCTGTCGAGGGCCAGATAGTGAATATTTTCAGCTTTGTGGATCATATCTTCTGCAGCTACTTAGCTCTGCAGTTGTAGTGCACAGGCGGCCATAGACAATATGTAAAGGAATTAATGTGGCTATGTTCCAATAAAACTTTAGTTACAAACACAGGTGATGGGCTGGATTTGGCCCGTGGGCCAGTTGCCAACCCCTAGTGTAGGTGGTCTGTTTTGGTAGTTTCTTCGAGAAATAATGTGTTGTGCTTGTAGGTACTGATGCTTATAGATGCCAGCTTTGGGTTTGAAATGGAAATGTTTGAGTTTCTAAACATCTGTCAAGCACATGGCTTTCCTAAAATTCTGGGAGTTCTCACCCACCTCGACTCCTTCAAGCATAACAAGCAACTGAAGAAGACAAAGAAGCGATTAAAACACAGGTTCTGGACAGAAGTTTACCAGGTAGGAAGAGAAATAATTGTTAGACACTAACAGTATAATCCTTTAAAACCAGACTAAAGAGGCCAGGCACAGTGGCTCATGCCTGTAATCCCAGCACTTTGGGAGGCAGAGTCAGGTGGATCACTTGAGGCCAGGAGTTTCGAGCTCAGGGCAATATGGCCAAACCCTGTCTCTACTCAAAAGGCAAAAATTAGTCGGGTGTGGTGGCATGCACCTGTAATCCCAGCTACTAGGGAGGCTGAGACGTGAGAATTGCTCAAAGCTGGGAGGCAGAGGGTGGAGTGAGCTGAGAGTGCACCACTGCACTCCAGCCTGGGTGACAGAGTGAGACTCCATCTCAAACAAACAAACAAACAAACAAACAAACAAAAAGACTGAAGAGACATTACTAAACATCTCTCTAGGAATTGCCTCCTGAATTCCCTTTGTGTATGTGTTCCCAGTCTCTGGAAGGTGTCCCTCAAGAGAGTGGTTATTCTGGGCCTCTTGGTGTATCTCATTTGTCTCCGTACCTGCTGCACCAGGCAATGTCTGGGTGTTTTGGAGTCGGGACTTAATAGAGTACATCAGAAGTTTCTCCCAGTTACAGGACCAGGCACTGCCCCTTCCTTTCCATACTGCTGTGGTCCATCGGCCACAGAACCCTTTCTGTGCTCAGAGGCCTCACCTCCCTCTCCTCACCATACTTAGACAGATGCACCGGCTTGGTTGCAGAGCAGTCTGCCTCTGTGTGGTTCTAATAAGTCCTGAAAGAATCCAGCAAGGCTCTGGAAGCCTCAGGACAGTGGCTTTGCTGGAAGTCTCCCTTCTTAGGATTGCTTCTTGTTTAGAGCTTTTATTTTGTTGCAGTATTGACGAGAATTTAATTGAAATTTAATTTTTAATTTTCCTTTAATGTTTAGGTTGCCAAACTGTTCTACCTTTCTGGAATGGTGCATGGAGAATATCAAAACCAAGAAATCCACAATCTGGGCCATTTTATTACAGTTATGAAGTTTAGGCCTCTCATGGCAAACTTTTCACCCTTATATCCTGGCAGACAGGTAAAAAGTGATTGTAAACTTTTTCTTCCTGGGCCATGTATTTCAAAGCTAAAAAGGCTAGAAAAAGAACAGTGATAGGATTTATTTTGTGCCTATTTGAATAGTGGGGGTAGAAGTGCAGTTGATGGAAAATGTCTACTTATATCATTGCTCAAAGATGCTGTGCCTTTGGGAGTAAATTAATTATGAGATGTTTAGGAAAATGGGAGGACTTGAAAGCATTTAAGGCTACAGGATGTGGCCCCATCCTACGTTCAGCCTCGGTTTTCAGTGATGCTGCCTTCGTGCCCAGGTGCTGGAGTCCTTCGTGCGTGCCTTCAGTTTCCTTCCTTTGTGCTCTTCTTTGTGCTGTGATTTTCTCAGCCTGGAATACCCCTTTTCCACCTGCCAGAATCCAAGCCACAGTACAAATCCCAGAGCACAGGCTCACCCTCTTCCAGAAACGGATTTTCTGCATATGTTCTTCACTCTTCCCTGACCCCAGGTGGACGTCGTCTCCCATCTGGTGTCTTATGGAATGAATGTCACTTTCAGCCTAGAGACACAGTTGTGTGCCTGCCCCTTTTCCTCTGCTGGATGGTGAACGGTGCTTCCTTATTTCTGCATTTTCTAGTTCCTAAGTGATGTGCTTAGTGGACAAGAGTGTGATGAGTCATTGACACATGAAAGGAGGTATAGGAACTTTGGCATTCATTTCTGCTGTACGATTGAGTTTATTTTTCTAGGATGGAAGATTTGACAAACCCGGAGGATATCCAAACAAACATCAAATGTGACCGGCAGGTGTCACTTTATGGTTATTTAAGAGGAGCACACTTCAAAGATAAAAGCCAAATTCACATGCCAGGTATTCTCTTGTTGTAGAACATACTAGAATTGCACATAGGATTCTTGGGATGGCTTCATTTCTCAGGAAAAATGAAAAATGACCAAACAAGGGAAGATGGCCTTGCTGGAGGTTTTAAAAGTAAGCCAGCTATGTGTAGGCCTGCAAAGGTGTTACCGAATCCCTCTTCTCTGACCTCTTGTAGCTAGAGGGCCACTGTTCCAGTGTGGCACAATGCCCTTCTTTAGGGTCATGGGTTAAGCCCTTGGACTGTGGATCGTTTTTAACCCCCCAGTCAACAGTAGATACTTACTGACTTCTTGTCAGTTGAAGCTGGCTTTTTGGGTCCCGTCTTCCAGGGGTAGAACATTTTGCCATGAGTGACATCGGTTTCCTCCCAGACCCTTGTGTTCTTCCTGAATAACAAAAGAAGTGCTGTTTAAATAAGAAGGAGCAGCTGGTTTATGTGCCTGTTTCTGGAGTTGAGGGTGTGCTGTATGACAAAGACGCTGTCTGTGTTGACCTTGGTGGCAGCCACGGTTTTCAGGCATCAGTGAGGCAGGAGTCTTTGCTCTGAACTCTCATTATTCTTTCCTAATCTATTTTTTAATCAAAAAAAGTAATGTACTCAGCTTTTATTTATTGAAGATTTTTCTCTTGTACTTATAATAAAGGCCCAAATGCATATTGTCAATATGTAGAATAAAAAGAATACCATTTTTTCATTGTACCAAGCAGAAGAGTCCTGTCCTCCATGCCTCCTTGATCCGTGGCCCCAGCGCGGGCACTGCTGCCAGTGTGGCACCTGCACGGCTTATTTCTGTTTCTACAAAATCAGTGTGCTTTCCAGCTCTCGTTTGTCTTTTTCTTTTTCTCAATCACAGTGGTCTCCTCATTATTTTAAAGTGGATTTCCAATATTTATTTCTTAGTTCTGTAGTTGAATTTTATTGGGTTAAAAGCAGGGTTATTTAAAAATGTTAGAAAAGCTAGCACTGTTGTAGCACTGGAACTGAGGTTTTTCTAGCTAGGTGTTTAGGTTATCAGGTTATATACTCACTGAGCTTTGGACAAGTTTAATGGAGATGGGGATCCATTTCAAGCTTTGTTATAAGGATTTTCTTCTCTGGTGTTTGTGGCATTAAGAAAAGATCTCAGGAAATGTGTCTAAGATAATTTTGAGAAACTGAGTGAAACCAGTGTCTCTCCAGGATCTTTGTGCTTTCCTCACGTGCCCTTTCTTGGTGGCCTTGATAGGACAAGGTGGGGCTCACCCATGAGCTGGTCCAGAGTCTCATCTCCACCTACTCCACCATTGATGCCAAGATGGCTTCAAGTCGAGTGACGCTGCTTTCCAATTCCAAACCACTTGGGTCAGAGGCTATAGATAATCAAGGGTAAGTCTGCTTTTTTTCTATTTTTAATAAAAAGATATATTACAGAAGATCGTATCACCCATAATTCTGCCATCATAACACATTTTGGTGGGATTCATTCTATGTCGTTTTGTTTTTCTTTGTGTGTGCATGTGTCTCTGAGGGCTCTTCACTTACCTGACATTACAAGGGAGTCTTATCTTGAAAAAAAATACAGGATGCATTTTTCAACAGACTTCAAATATTCCTCAAATACCACGCCATCTTCCATAGGTTGCTTTTTTGGTTTTTCAGAGACCTGAGGCCACTTGGCTTTCTTTTGATGGCCAAAACACTAGAGCAGAGTCAGGGAGTTTGTGGCTGTCCAGAAGCCACATGCCTTGTCTCTGAAAGTTTTATTTAGATTATGTTGTATTATCTCCCATGGGTAGGTTTCCACTAATGTGTGGCTTATGTGAATTATTTTTCAGTCTGGGTTGGGAATTTGTATACCTTTATGCTTAGTGGATGTTTGCAAAACATTGATTTTGTTGTATTGATTTATGACTCCCAGTAAAATTTATCTGAAAATCTTGAGATAATGTAGTATATAATTTGTTACAATGTGCATAAACTACCTACCACAGTGCCTGACGTAATGAGTGTTATTAGCTGTTTTCATTTTTGCATATCCTTCTAGTCATCCTTGTCTACAAGAATACTCTCTTCTAATATAGCTACAGGTAAAATACATAATTTTATTTCTATATTCTGAGGATTTTTTTTCTATACAGTCTTTATGTAATCATGATTTTATTGTTACCAGTGTTTTTTTGTTATTGTGGCTTCTTTGTTTTTGTTTTTGTTTTTGTTTTTGTTTTGAGATAAGGTCTCACTTTGTCTCCCAGGCTGGAGTGCAGTGGTGTGATCTTGGCTCACTGCAGCCTTGAACTCCCAGGCTCAAGTGATCCTCCTGCTTCAGCCCCGCAAGTAGCTAGGACTACAGGAGTGCACCACCACTCCCGGCTAATTTTTTTTGTTCTGTTCTAGGGACGAGTTCTCACTATGTTGCCTAGGCTGGTCTCGAACTCCTGGGCTCAAGCAATCCTCCCGACTTGGCCTCCCAAAATCCTGGGATTACATATGTGAGCCACTATGCCTGGCCTGTTATTCCTGTATTCTAACTTATCCATCCCTTATGGTATGATTTTTAGTTTTTTCTAATTTATGTTTTCATACTTTTATCTATTGTGCTACGTTAAAAAGCTTCATATAGTTTTCTTTCATCCAGTGATTTTAGCCCCCTGATAATCTTCTCTATCAGTTATGGCACTGTTGACTCAAAATGGATGTTATTCCTCTGTCATTCCTTCTAAGTTTGTTACCTGGCATTTTTAACAAAGAGCTTTCTCTTCTCCCCTTTGTTTCAGCATCACGGCTGACTAATGCACTTGCGTTTTATTCCATGGGTTATTTTCCATCACTGTCATTGTACTTTCTGATGCCTATGCTGTCCCAGATTCGGCTGCGGGAGCCTTCGGCCTGTCTCCTGTGTCCCTTCAACTGTCTCTGTTAGTCTTTGAGCATTTCTTACTTTCTGACAGAACCAGAGGATCCAGGCTCATTTTGTCCTCTTCCTGCCTTGGGCCTGGACTCAGCCATTTCTCTTAAGGATCATGCGTTTTTAGCTTAGAAATTAATCAGCTTTCCAGAAGATCTATAAAACCCTAACTTCCCTTTTGAGCAATTTTTTTCTAAAATTAGATTTTTTTTTTTTAAGGGTTATTCCTTTATTCTCTCTATAAGTTCTTTTGAAGTGTGGTGTTAGGGAACCATGCCTCAGTTTCCTTATTAACTCTTCCGGTGTTTATCAGATCATTTTTTCCCTACGCTATGTCATCTTAAACATCTTAAGCAATTCATTGACATTTTCTGTTTCTTTTGTATTTTCATTGACTATATTTCCAGTTCTAGATTAGCTGATTAATGTACAAATTGAATTATTTTGCATATCCTTGGTGATATAGGCTGTTGATGCCAAAGGAGGAAAAACAAATAGACTTGAAAACTGGTCGAATGCGTCAGAAAGCCATTTTTGGAGATGATTCTGTGCGAACGTCTTCTCTCCTTTCTTGATCTCTTAATTTTTTTTTCTTATCCAAATATATACCAGCTGATTTTGTCTTTCTAGAAGATCCAAGATCTTTGGTTTAGAGATATATTCTCTTAATGTTAACTGGTATTAGAATACTCTTTTCTGTATTTTATTTCAATGCATTTTAAAAATAGAAATGATTGTATTTTCTTTTAACTTGTGAAGTAGAGCATGGCATACAAATTTTGTATTCTCATTATTTCAAAAAATTTCCTTCTTAGTGTACAAGTTGTATTCAGCACATAAAGTCCATCCAGCTTTGTTGTAGATGCAGTGTGATTATTACATGTTGATAAGGTGTGAATTGGAGATGGGATCCAAAAGTACTGTACTTATTGTAATTTTTAAGCTAATTGTAGATTTGGTGGTGAATATTTTACTACTGCAAAATGAAAACAGCATTTCATCAGAAGTTGTTTTATGGTCTTTCAGGCATTTTATTTTATATCTTTGATGCTTTTTGCCCATGAAGTATCTCTTTTGTGTGTTTGTGTGTATGTGTACTGATTTGCTGTAAATTTCACAGTGCTCATTGTCAGGGATCATCAGAATCAGGCCTAGGCAGAGAGCTGAGCAGTACTCTCAGTATGTCTCTGTGTCCTGGTTGCCACATATCTCTGTTGTTTATTTATAAATTGGAGAGCTCTCTGATGTGTAACAAAGGTTGGATAGATCAGAGACAATTGGAAGACGAATCCTCTACTCTATTGTCACCTCTTCTTTTTCTATTCACACATGTCAGATAGAGACATGCGTGTTGTAAATTATTTTGTCAGAATGAAAGCCTGGCAGATTAAGTGATTTCTTCTCTTTTTGCTGTACTTGATATCGATCTCTTGTTCATTTCTTGATAATATGTTTGGTTATTTTTGTTTTCATTGCTTTTGGTGTCAGAGATGGCTTTGGATTCCCTGTTCTGTGTGCTCCTGTCTGGCTCCTGAACCCAGCTGGAGAGGTGTGTCAATCCCAACTGGTGAAGTACTGAGAGGAAGCTACACAAAAGGCAGCAAGGTGTTAATAAGTGTACCTCTGACATTTTAACCACCTCTGACTTTTCCATGGAATGGACAAGTAGTAGTCTCTGTCAGAGCAATGTTTTAAAGGAAAAAAAGAAACTTGAGGTCGTAAACTGTTTATTAATTTATGCTGTTATTTTGTGTTTACTCAACTCATTTATATTGACTTGTAAATTAGTAATTTATGAACTACTATTCATCAATTCATTGCCTACATGTCAGCAAACAAGTTTTCTTCTTAATAAAGAATCCGGTGGCTGGGCACAATGGTTCACACCTGTAATCTCAGCATGTTGGGAGGGCAAGGCAGGAGGATTCCTTGAGGCCAAGAGTTCAAGACCCGCCTGGGCAACATAGCAAGATTTCATCTCTACAAAAAAATGAAAACATTGGCTGGGCATGGTGGCTCATTCCTATAGTTCAGGCTACTCAGGAGCCTGAGGTAGGAGGATCACTTGAACCCAGGAGTTTGAGGCTGCAGTGAGCTATGATCCTAACACTGCTCTCCAGCCTGGGTGACACACCAAGAGACCATCTCTTCAAAAAAGGAATCTAGGGGCATCAGTGTGTGCACACAGCATGGCTTGTGAATGCGGAAGTGCCTGTGTGCATAGTTGTGCTCAAGAATGTGTTGATGATTATATCTTCTCAGCATGAAAAAAAGTTGTTGTTGTTTTTTTTTGAGATGGAGTCTTGCTCTGTCACCAGACTGGAGTGCAGTAGTGCTATCTCGGCTCACTGCAACCTCTGCCTCCCGGGTTCAAGTGATTCTCCTGCCTCAGCCTCCTGAGTAGCTGGGACTACAGGCACACGTCACCACTCCTGGCTGATTTTTTGTATTTTAGTAGATACGGGGTTTCGCCATGTGGGCCAGGATGGTCTTGATCCCCTGACCTCGTGATTGGCCCACCTAGGCCTCCCAAAATGCTGGGATTACAGGTATGAGCCACCGTGCCTGGCCTGAAGTTCACATTTATAAAGATCTCTCTACGTCTTAGATTTGATTCTTCCTTTAAATATTTTTCTCATTGACATTTGAAAGCACCTGACCTTATATAAAATGAAGAATTTTCATAACTCCATAAAAGGAGAATTATGACATCATCTACTATTTCTTTCTCTTGTCTCATAAATCTAAACCATCAACCTGCTTATTTTTGTATACTGTCACACTGTGTATTCCCTGCATTGAATGCCTTTCTATTGACATTGTCTGTAAAAATTGTGGGAAGTTTTCTGCACCCTAAATTTTCTGTTATGGGGATTAGATATCCAGTATCCATGTTTTTCCAAGTCTTACATCAGAAAGGGTAAATACAGCCCTCACAGCAGCCTGTTGTTTGTCCTGCAGTTGTGTTTCCATCACATTACACAAAGCCTCTTTGTCTTCGTGGTTGTACCCTGCTAATAAGTTTTTTTTAAATTATGTAATGTGTGTATATACAAATACCTATATGTATGTGTGTACACATACAGCTGATATCTACTGAGATTATGTATGCATGAACTATAGAATTAACTTGTAATTTTAAGAAAATAAATTATTTTGTAAAGATAAATCTCATGTTTAAGAAGGGGAATTACAATTGAATCATTTAGGGATGCCTCAACCTAAGCATAATATGGAAAAAGCCATAACCAAAAGTCATTTTAGAGTACTGCTAGGTTACTCAACCTATCATCACATTTAATTAAAATGTCAGTTTGAACCATGGCCAGTCGATTTTCGTTAATATGTTATTTAAATCAACTTGTGAAGTCTTCATTTTAGATATAGAATTTGTGTTAATGAACTGGAAAATAACATTCTATTGCTTGGAAGATGTGTTAAAGCCTAAATATTTATGACTTTGTAAAAGAAGAAAACCAGCTGGTGATCAGTTGGCATTAGTATATAAGGATGTACTCATATTTGATAATAGCCATTTTTTTCTAACAAGAGTAAGGGAGTTGGGAATGGGAGGCAGAGACAGGGACACAGATATATAAAAAATTGTAGACAAAACTGTATTGCGTTCTGAGTATGGTTCTGTGATCCATGGTTCAGTTTGAGAGGTTCCTGTGTCCCTTATGAGAAGGGACAGGAAAGCCAGGAGGACAGGAGTATGTTTGGGCCTGTGCCTGTGCTTCCACCACAGAAGTCAGCAGCTCTACCTTTCTCTTTTCTCCTCTTTATCTAATAATTGTTTCCTCTTCAAATTTGGGAAATGAGCTTAATCAAATATTTGTTGTGTTTTTTGTTTGTTTGTTTTTGAAATGTGGCCTCAGTGTGTTTGCCCAGGCTGATCTTAAACTCCTGGGCTCAAGTGATCCTCCCTCTCAGCGTCCTGTGTAGCTGGGACTACAGGCATGTGCCACCACACCCAGCTAAGTTAATGCTAATGTGTAGTTTATCTGATTCAGTTTTGAAGGGCGGGATATATATAGATAGTTATGTTGTGTGTGTGGTGGGGGGGGTAGTGTTTATGTGTGTGTGTGTATATATATATTTATATATTACTAGTCCATTGCTGCTACAACAAACTACCAGTATGTCAGGGCATAAAACAAATTTATTACACTCCCGTATGTCAGAGTGTGATGTGGATCTCACTGGGCTAAAATCTAGGTGGTGGAAAGGCTACCTTCATCTCTAGAGGCTCTAGGGGATCTTTTTTCTCGCCTTTTCCACATTCTGGAGTCTGCCTGCATTTTTTGGCTTTGGGCTCTTCTCCACTCTCACCATTAGCAACCTTGCATCCCATGGGCCCTTCTTCTATGGCCACATGTCTCTGTGGCTCTTTCCTTCCCCCTTCTCTTCCACTGTTAAGGACTCATGTGCTTACTTAGTCCTGAATGGAGACACCGTCATCATCCACATGAGCCCACTGTCCTAATCCATACAGGCTGCTACAAGGAAATGCATTAGACCAGGTAGCTTATAAATAACAGAACTTTGTTTCTCACAGTCCTGGAGGCTGAGAAGTGCAAGATCAAGGTGCCGGCAGTCTTGGTGTCTGGTGAAGGCCTGCTTTCTCATAGAGGCTTCCTTCTTGCTGTGTCTTCGCATGGTGAGAGGAACAAACAAGCTCCCTTGTGCCTTTAATAAGGTGCTAATCCCAGTCATGAGGGCAGAGTCTCCCGTAAGGCTTAACCTCCTAATGCCATCACCTTGAGGGTTAGGATTTTAACACATGAACAGTGACGGAACACAACGTTCATTCCATAGCACCAGGGTAGTCTCCTCATGTCAAGGTCTTTACCTGAATCACATGCATGATGTACCGTTTTCATGTAAGGTTCTAGGAATCTGTGGACATCTTTGGGGGGCCATTATTTTGCTGATCACATATTACATATTTTTTAATATTCTAGACTAGTATGAAAACAATGCCACTTCCATTGCTTTATATACGTATCTATATACACATTGTCTAATGCTATAATTAAAAAAAAGTTGTAGACACAAATATACCCATTTAAAAAAAAATTTTTTTTGCTATTTTACTTCATACTGCCAACTCCTTTTTCCTGAAACTGCTTCAACTCTGGAATTCTTTTTTGCTATTAGTTTTATTTTATTGAAATATTCATGAATGAGCATACACTTGTATATGGATTTAAAATTCACAGTAATGTTCTCATGAGTTCATCTGTGAATAACATTTTATAGACAAAATGTCTGCACTAAGACAAGAGAAAGATCTATAATTCCTTTGTTCTAAGGTACCGCCATTCATTGTTATTATTTTAAAATAGGAGTGTTGACTGATGTTAAAACACAAAATGGGGTCGGGAGTGGTGGCTCCCGCCTGTAATCCCAACACTTTGGGAGACCGAGGTGGGCGGATCACCTGAGGTCAGGAGTTTGAGAACAACCTGGCCAACATGGTGAAACCCTGTCTCTACTAAAAATACAAAAATTAGCTGGGCATGTGTTGCGCGCCCATGATCTTAGCTACCCGGGAGACTGAGTCCGGAGAATCGCTGGAACCTGGGAGGCGGAGGCTGCAGTGAGCCGAGATCATACCAGTGCACTCCAGCCTAGATGACAGAGTGAGACTCTGTTCTTCCCCCAACCCCCCAAAAAAACACAAAAAGGGATAATTGGCCGGGCACAGTGGCTCACGCCTGTAATCCCAGCACTTTGGGAGGCCGAGGTGGATGGATCACCTGAGACCGGGAGTTTGAGACCAGCCTGACCAACATGGAAAAAACCCATCTCTACTAAAAATACAAAAATTAGCTGGGCATGGTGGCACATGCCTGTAATCCCAGCTACTCAGGAGGCTGAGGCAGGAGAATTGCTTGACTCTGGGAGGTGGAGGTTGCTGTGAGCCAAGATCGCACCATTGCACTCTAGCCTGGGCAATAACAGCAAAACTCCGTCTCAAAAAAAAAAAAAAAAAAAAAAAAATTATAACTGGGCAGTGGAATTGAAAATGATTTTAAAAAATATCCAAAATACCTAAGGAACTTGTATAAATAAATAGGAAAAAAAAAGAGAAAAACATCAAGAAGCCCACAAAAAAGCAGATTTGTAAATGGGCAATGGATTTGAATAGACATTTAGCCATAGAAGGCATCCAGTTGGTGAAAAGGCATATGGAAAGGTGCTCAGCATCACTGATTATCAGGAAAATGAAAATGAAAACCGCCACGAGTGGTTTAGACCATAGCGGCATGCATGAAAGTTTTCAGACCTCCAGTTGTTGGGAGTGGCTGAGGAGATTGGGGAGCTTCTGTCTGAGTTGGAAGAGTGGAGTCTCAACAAGAACCAGTGTATTCTGGACATGTGTGCGCCCTGGAGTGTTCATGGCTGGATGCCTTGTCTACCTGTGCCTTACAGAGTGACACCATTGTGGTGTGGTCGATCAGAGGGGCAGGAGGCTTTCAGAGGGAGTGGGAAGTGGTGGGGCTTGGTTTGTTTGCCCATGGATGACAGCAAAAGTGAGTTGGCTTCTCAAGAACTTTTACCAGTAGCCTGTTTTGCTACAATTCTAGACCCAGACTGGGGTCCCAAGGCATCATAGCCCACAGCTTCTTAGCAAGTGCATGTTCAGTTGGATCCCCCAGCTCAGCCTGGGTCATCCCCACGTTCTGCCTCTTGGGCCATACATAGCTCAGCTCTGTACTGAGCCATCATCCCATGGTGAGCAAGACCCCATTCTTGGTCTTCAGTCTCTTTCCCTGCAGCATGCAATCAAGGTGGTGGCTGGAAGGGGCCAAGGAGCCACATGTCACAGTGCCCTGCTGCCTGAACAAGGACCAGAGGCCTGTGGAACACATGGCTCTCAGATTTCTCCCATTTGATGACTCATCAGCTGCCCCCACATGGCTTTCTAGCTCACAGCAGATCTAGCCTTCTCTGAGCAGTGAAGATGGGATGTTTTATGGTCATTTTCCCTGGTGTGGAGAGCCCAAGTGGAGTTCTTCAGCACACCCTACACCATCCCCTCACTAACACCCCCACCTGTCCAGTCTTACCTGCCTTCATATCAAAAGCACTCAGTTAACCCAGAGGGCTTCAGCCCTGCCCTGCCTGACTTTCTAGGAAACCCCTCTCTCCACCCACCCTAATCAGACACTGTCTGAAGGTTCCCCCTCATCATTTTAAAAGGAAGAGAAATTTTTCTGACACAGAGGTTCTGGTGAAGTGGCTAGCTCCCACATCACAGGGTGATGGTGGTTTGGACTGGACCAGGATCAGACAGTGCTGTCCTGGGGCTGGCCATCTGATAAGGGGCTCCAGAAAGGGCAGTGATGGACCCCTGGGAGGCTTTCTGCTCTCCTGATCACAGGTTTTTGGTGAGAGGACCTATTGGCCACTAGGGTGTCTGCGGGTGTGTGTGTGTGTGTGTGTGTGTGTGTGTGTGAGATGTGTGTTTACTTGGAATGACTTCTTTCAGCATGAAGCCCACTGTTTTGCTGAACGTATCTCACTGTTTCCTGAAACTCAGTACATTCAGCTGGCTTAAGGGTCCTGGGGCCTCGCTGTGTCATATTTGCACAAGCCTAGTGTCTGTGCAGACTGTACACTGGAGTTCAGTTGTAAGACCCTTTTGATCCCTTATTCTGTTCCTGTAATAGAAAAGCCATTTCACTCAATGGAATAGAAACCCAGATCTAATGGAGAGATGTTCTAATCTGCCATACACTGGGGCAGTGGCCAGTGATTTGGACTTTGTGGCACAGATGGAAATTTCCAGGTTCTCTAGGTGGTAGGCAGAGGCCTCACTTTTTAAGAAACTCCCCCACTCCACCCCTGCCAATGAGGACATTGCTTAGAGGTATTTCTATCAGTGTTGAGTAGAAGAGATCATTTCTTGGTGTTGAATTTCAGGTAAGGATGCCAGCTTCTGCATATCAGGGTGGTGATGTTTGGGCTGCGACAGGTCTAGACAGCAGTCTGAAAGGGGGCTCAAGGAAGTAGCTGTGAAAGGCCCCTGGGATGTTTTCTGCTCCCCTTTCTGCAAATCCCCTGGAGGGAGATCCTGTTAGTCACTACGGGATGTGTGTGTGTGTGTGTGTGTGTGTGTGTGTGTGTGTGTGTGTGTGTTCATCACTTGTTGCTTGGGGTGGGAAGAGACAACAACAACCTACAGAATCCATAGTTCTCAGTTCATCTCCCATCCTAGTCCAATCATGGCCTAACATCCTTAGCTACCGATCGCAGAGGAGACTGCGCATTTGTGTTCATGTGGCCTTGGATGTTGGCAGATTCAGATTGGTGCCCCAGGCATCTGTGCTGTAACTGCAGTTTCAGCGGGCTCAGGACCAGGCTAAAGGGCCTCCAAGCTTCCTCCAGTTTCCTGGTGCATGCATGTGCAATATGCTCCCCTGGCCTGGGTCTTTCCTGCCGCTTCTTGCCAGTTGGGTCAGAACTAGCTTATTAACCAGTTTTTCTTCTGAGCTTTAATCGAACTGGCTCCAACCAGTTGGAGGCTTGAAAAGGGCTACGTGCTAGTTATAGATTTTTAAAGATATATTATTATTTTAGAGTAGTTTTGAGTGTACAGCAAAATGGAGTGCAGAGTCCAGAGATCTCATATGCCCTCAATTCCTGTATACTCTCGGGTCACTCCACCAACAACCTCCTACACCAGAGCCACTTTGAAACATTAGAAAATATATTTGAGCATTCAGAAATGTATAAACTAGGCAGCCCCAGACTGCAAGCAGCTCAGAGGTCCCACAGAGAGGCTTAGGGAGGGTGGGGGAAGAATTTTATATGGTGAATGTGGAAGAAAAAGAAAATACTTGATTGGGTAAAGTGGAGCAGTGGCCTCATTTGGAACATTACAGTGGAAGGTCTCTAGTTAGATGTTAGTTGGTGGTTTCTGATTGGTTCTTACATTTCCTTTTATTATTTACACTGAGTCAAGTTTTGGTTTATTTAAGGAGGAATTGAGTGCACGGCAGCCACCTCAGCCTCATGGCCACCTGTTTATTTGATTATTTTTAACAGAGAAGATCCTTTTAAAAATATCTGTTACCGTGGCTGGAGTGCAGTGACGTGATCACGGCTCACTGCAGCCACAACCTTCCAGCTCAGGTGATCCTCCCACCTCAGTGCTCCCCACCCTGAGTAGCTGGGACTACAGGCATGTGCCACCACACCACCATGCTAGGCTAATGGTTTGTATTTGTTTGAGAGATGCAGTTTCCCTAAGTTGCTTAGGCTTCTTTTGAACTCTTAGACTCAAATAATCTGCCTGCATTGGTCTCCCCAAGTGCTGGAATTACAGGCCATCTAAATCTTTTATCTCAGGTTTGCCTTGTGACAAAAGGTGGGGTACTTTTTCTGACATGATGAGGCAGAGAAAGGTGAGGTGGGTGCATCCTGTGCATATGATTTTCTCAGGTGATGGGAATATGGTGGGCTCTTGCCTAATGGGATATATTTTCTCTTTGAATGATTTGGCAAGATATCAGATGAGAGAAGTTGAATAAATGTTAGAAGAACATAGAAAAAATAGGTTATACACATTGGGTTTCTGAAGAAATGATGTCATTGGAGAAACAAAACTTTTATTGATTTCTGGAAACATTTAGGGCCAATTTTTTGTGTAAGTAATTTGAATTTATGATGATATCTCTGACCACTTTTTGATATTTTTTCTGGTTCAGGTGAGTGGTGTCATTGAGCAAACACAAAGTCGGGCTCATCCAAGGATGAGATTTTGCCAGAGAAAGGATGAGCAGCAAGTCAGGGAGCTTAAGGTAATTATGAGACAGTGACTATCTAAAATTGCTTAGGTAGAAGGAGACAGATTGGATTTTTGTGTGTTTGGTATTTGGGATAAGAGGGATGTGGGTGTGTACTTGAGATGTGTTGTTTATTTTCTCTCTCTTTTTTTTCTTTTTTTTTTTTTTGAGAGGGAGTCTCACTCTGTCACCCAGGCTGGAGTGCTGTGGCACAGTCTTGGCTCACTGCAACCTCTGCCTCCTGGGTTCAAGGGATTCTCCTGCCTCAGCCTCCCGAGTAGCTGGGATTACAGGCGCCTGCCACCACGCCCGGCTAATTTTTGTGATTTTTTTTTTTAGTGGAGACGAGATTTCACTATGTAGGCGAAGCTGGTCTCGAACTCCTGACCTCAGATGATCCACCCGCCTCAGCCTCCCAAAGTGCTGGGATTACAGGCGTGAGCCACTGCGCCTGGCCTGTTTATTCTCTTAAGAGAGAAAATGAGGGGATTAATGGACTGTAGTTCTGGACAAGGTGGAAAACTCTTAAAGTGGAAGTACTGGGGCAAGTGCTCTGACAGGGTAGGATGGTGCAGTCAGTCCCTTCACCCAGAAATCAGTAGAATGTTAGCAGTTCAGACTCAAACCTTGTGAAAAACAGGTGGTGGAAAGGAAATCCCTCACAGCAACTGGCACCATAATCAAGACAATGTTTACAGAATAAATGGAGTTACCTGCTTTCAGCCCCAGGTCGTAGCTATTGTCTGCCCTGCTGATATGTGATAATAATTTGTGATCCTGTTGTCTTAAAATGGGGTCACTCATCTCCAGTAGAATTAAGTCCACAGTGAAGTTGTCCCCCCATCCCCAAAGAGATAAACATATATGAATGAACTCACGTGATAACAACTACTGCTGCCTGGGATCATGAGAGACCTGAACTGAACTGATAGGATGTGAAAGGTGGCTGAGATAATGAGAATAGACCCATCTGCAGAGGATCATAAAACCAGCAAAGACAAGATCTTGTCTAAGATGCCTTCACAAGCTTTGTCCATGAGAACTCTTAAGGATTTCACCAGACCTGTTGGCTGCTGCTGTGATCTCTGCCCAAGAGGAGCCTCTGACCAACATCCAAAGGGCTTCTGGACCCACTGGACTCCTCTGGAGGTACCTTGGTCTCCCGATCCATGGCTGTGGTTTTTTACTCCCTTTATCACTGCCTGTGTGTAGAATGATAATTGCACAATTGATAGTGTGAAGACCTCTTGATAAATGGTAAATCTGAGCATATGTATTTGGCTGACATGTCATTGTGAAACCTCACAGCTTCAGTCAGTGTCTCTCCAAGGACTAAACAATGGAAGACTGTAGAAGATGCTATTCATTAAGATATCGCAAGAATATGGAAGACTATTATTCGCTTCTCATGGGACAGGACTTTTCAGGGCACCTGAAAAAACTCCCATGAAAAATCACTTTTACAAAATGTCAAGTTATGATATTCAAGATGAAACCAATGAGTCACAACATTCACATAATACACTGTACAACCCTGATCTCTTGACTGTCATCAAATGTTTCTTACCTCTAAACCAAAGTTTCATTTTATAATTTAATTTTTCTCATTTTTTCCATTCTCTTAGCTTAAGAAAAGATCATTACAAACTTTTTGTAAGTTTTTCATATATGCTTGCAAAGGGTTGTAAAACTTTATTGTGATTATTCTTGCTTTAAGCTGAAACATCCCTAATCTTTCTTTAGAGATTGTGGCATAGCATGTTAGTTTCTTTTCCATATCCAATTGTTTTCTGTAGTGAATACAGAAATACGGGCACTATTTTGTAACTTTAAATAGACATCATCTCAAGTCTACAAGAATTATCCAAAATGGTATTTAATGACATTTCTAGGTCTTCAGACACTATTAATGCAGATTGTAGCCTCTAGGTCCTGAAGATTTTACTAGATACTGGTTACTGAAACTGAGCTTTCTTGAATTCTTTTTCCTTCCACTGTGGTTTCCCGCATTTCAACATATCACCTATTTTTGTCCTCAAAGGTTACTTAAATTTTTTCCACAGAATTAAATTAAATATGAATCATCCCTCCTCTGATTTTTGAAATGACCCTTTGCTTCCTATGATAATGATTCTTCTGGTCCGTTTTGTAGTTATATGTTAGAGTTTGTAAATAGTCACACATTTTGCAACTGCATGTAATTTTCTTATTATTTTTTCCTCTTCCTCTAAAACTGCTGTTATTTCTTTTAACTTTTTGTGGGAAAAATTAAACCCATCTTTCACGTTGTTGATATACTTATTTATAATTGAACTCCTTGATTTTTGCTCGAATTGCTTTTCAAGTTACCCACTTTTAGGGAAGACATTATTTGGGTTTTGTTTAGTGTATCAGGCTTTTTTTAGTTAGTTGTATCAAGAAGTGTAGACTTTTCTATACATAATATCCTTTTTCCCACAGTATTTTTTTTTTTTTTTAAGTCTAGCCGGGTGCAGTGGCTCACGCCTGTAATCCCAGACTTTGGGAGGCCGAGATGGGCGGATCACGAAGTCAAGAGATGGAGACCATCCTGGCTAACACGTTGAAACCCCATCTTTACTAAAAATACAAAAAATTAGCTGGACATGGTAACGGGTGCCTGTAGTCCCAGCTAATCAGGAGGCTGAGGCAGGAGAATGGCATGAACCCAGGAGGCAGAGGTTGCAGTGAGCCGAGATCGTGCCACTGCACTCCAGCCTGGGTGACAGAGCAAGACTCCATCTCAAAAAAAAAAAAAACAAAAAAAAAAAAAAAAAAAAAACATTCTGTTAAAATAAAGGTCATCAAAAGATCTTTTCCTAAACCTTTCCTTTACCAGAAATAGCTCTAGTGTCACATGGTCCTTTCTCCCTTCTTGCTTTTGTAGGAATCCAAAGCTAATCTGTCCCTGATCCGGATTACACGCACCTGTGCCTTTTGGGGCCCTTCTGCATTAGTTCTTCCTTCTCTTCTAACCTCAAAAATGTGTTTTTTCTATTGGCTCTTTCCCTTTAACATAGAAGTATACTCACGCTTTTGTTGAATCTTGAAATAAAAGTCTTCCTTTACCACATATCTCCCTTTAATACTACATCTCTCTTCTCAGCCAAATACTTGGGAAGAGAAGCCCTGAGTTTGTGTCATTGTTTTCTCACCTCCAGTTCACTACTTTGCCTACTGCCTGACATCCAGCTCGCTCACACACACACACAAGCCCAATCACTAAGTTGCCATAGCTAATTTGTAGCTTTCCTGCCTTCCTGGCAAAATTTGACTCTGCATTGGGATAATACATGTCAAGTACCTATTGAACAGGCACTGTGCTAGGTGCTACTGTTATAGATATGAAAAGAAGGCATCATCTCCTTTCTAACAACTCACAGGAGCAGCCATTCCTGATTCATACATGTCTCTTGACTCCCAGTGCTCACTTTTTCAAGCTTCACTTAATGCCGTGCAAATCACCCTATTCTCCAGGTCTTCTTTCTTCCCAGTTCTCCTTACTATACACAACTTCTCAAGGCAGTCACCTCCACACCCATGGCTTCAATTGCTTTCTCCATTCTCTGAGAACAATAGAATTTTAAATGGTTTTATTTCATGTATTAGCTTTATTTTATACAAGGTGCCTCACCTGCTGTAACCATAGATTCAAAGTTGCTCCATGAAAGTAATAAATGAAAAATGGTGATTTTTTAGCATGTAAATTTTAGGAAATTTCCCCAGTTACGCTTAATGGCTTGATTTAGTGTGTATGTTATTTTTGAAAACATATGTTGGGATGTCACAAATGGACTTAGCCTACAGAGATTTATATTCAACTTTTGACCAGAGAGTTCCATTTTAATGTGACACTGAGAGTAAAAAACTATCTTTTCCTCCTTACCTATTTCTCTTCCTACATTCTCGGCCAGGAGGAAGGCACTGCTACATACCCAGTCTTCCCCAGCAGAGCCTGAGCAGCTCTGTTTTCCTTCTACTTCCCCTCTTCTTTCACATCTCATGACCAAGCACTTCCTATTCTGTCTCCCAAATGATCACAGATTTTTTCCTCCACTTTTGTCACTGCCACTGCCCTTAGCATTACTCTGCCTTTAGAGAAAGTCTCTTAATTGGTTTGGTTGCTTCCTTCAGTCTTTATTATACAGACCACTACACGCACATCTGACAGAGACTTTTCACCTTTTTATGGTTGAATGACTGAAATTCCCAGAATAAAATTAAAACCACCCCAGCATCAAATTTGAGGTCAAATAGAGGTGGGTTTGTATCCCAGGTTCATATACTGTCCAGCAGTATGGTCTCAGAAAACTGACCTCCTTAAGCCTTTGTTTGTGTATCTGCCTACACTCATTGAGAGTTGGGACTATTTCACACATACAGTGCCTGGCATGTAGAAGGGACTTAATGTTGAAAGAAGGGGAGGCATTTTAAAATCCACATCAAAAAAATGTTGTTCTGTTCGGGAGTGGTGGCTCACGCCTGCAATCCCAGCACTTTGGGAGGCCAAGGCAGGTGGATCACCTGAGGTCAGGAGTTCGAGATCAACCTGAGCAACATGGTGAAACCCCATCTCTACTAAAAATACAAACATTAGCTGAGCATGGGGGCGGGATCCTGTAATCCCAGCTACTTGGGAGGCTTAGGCACTTGAATGAGAATCACTTGGACCCAGGAGGTGGAGGTTGCAGTGAGCAATGATTGTGCCACTACCTGGGCAACAGAGTGAGACTCTGTCTCAAAAAAAAAAAATAAAAAGTAAAAAAAATTCTTTTAAAAATATACGAATCTGGCTGGGCACGATGGCTCATTCCTGTAGTCCTAGCACTTTGGGAGGCTGAGGCGGGCCTGACCAACATGGAGAAACCCCGTCTCTACTAAAAATACAAAATTAGCCGGGCATGGTGACGCATGCCTGCAATCCCAGCTACTCGGGAGGCTGAGTCAGGAGAATCGCTTGAGCCCGGGAGGCGGAGGTTGCAGTGAGCCAAGATCACGCCATTGCAGTCCAGCCTGGGCAACAAGAACGAAACTCCGTCTCAAAAAAAAAAAAAAAAAAATAGTGTTCAGCAAGGTTGAAGCATAAAAGGTTAATAGCCAGAATCATTTATCAATTGTATTTCTATACATCTACAAGACACAATCTGAAAATGAAATTAGAGAAACAATTTCACTGGGCAACAAGAGCAAAACTTCGTCTCAAAATAATAATAATAATAATAATAATAATAATAATCTACAATGTCATTTCCCATCCAAGCTTGACTTCTACCTTTACTTTCTGATATGGTTTTGCCATGTCCCCACCCAAATATCATCATGAATTATAATCCCCATAATCCCGATGTGTCGAGGGAGGGGCCTAGGGGGAGGTGATTGGATCACAGGGGCAGTTATCCTCATGCTGTTCTTGTGATATTCAGTAAGTCCTCATGAGATCTTATAGGGTTTTGTTTTGTTTTGTTTCCTGGGATAGAGGCTTGCTCTGTTGTCCAGGCAAGAGTGCCATGGCACGATCTTGGCTCACTGCAGTCTCTGCCTCTTGAGTTCCAGTGATTCTCCTGCCTCAGCCTCCTGAGTAGCTGGGATTACAGGCATGCACCACCACACCCAGCTAATTTTTGTATTTTTAGTAGAGACAGGATTTCACTACATTAGCTAGGCTGGTCTCAAACTCCTGACCTCAGTTGATCCACCTGCCTTGGCCTCCCAAAGTACTAGGGTTACAAGTGTGAGCCACCGTGCCCAGCTGAGATCTGATGGTTTTATACATGTTTGACAGTTGCTCCTTCACATGTTCCCACTCTCTGTGCGGCCACCATGTAAGTCGGACCTGCCCTTCTGCCATGATTGTAAGTTTCCTGAAGGACTTCCCCCTCTGCCATGATTGTAAGTTTCCTGAGGCCTCCCCAGCCATGTGAAACTGAGTCAATTAAGCCTCTTTCCTTTAAAAATTACCCAACCTCAGGTGTTTCTTTATATCAGTGTGAAAACAGACTGCTATACTTTCTGATAATCATGCTTAAGCAATTGGGGAATTCAGACTACCTGGGATCAAACTATGGCCCCACCCTTAGCAGTCATGTGACCTTGGGGGGGTTTACTTACCTTCTCTGTCCCAACAACTTCTGTAAAATCTGTAACATGAGATTGTTTCTGAGGGTTAAATGAGCATAGCACAGTGGGGACACTGTCAGGCACACACTACTTGCCAGATGTCGAGTATTCATCTTTATTGAAATAGGACTGTGGTAAGCCACTTTATGGCTCTCGATTTTGTATGAGAAAATCATGTTTAGTGCCTTGTTAGTAAAAGAAAGAAAATCTGAAAGTCCCTGCCATGGAAGGAAGAAATAGCGGGGAGAAAAGGGAGTTGGTAAGTTTCAGCATTTCAGAGCTTGGAGGGACAAGTTAGGTTTCTATTTTATGGAGAAGGAGGTGGAGGCAGGATGGGTCCTAAGGTGTCATTCAAAACACACAGCCATAACTCTTTATTGAGAGTAGAGCTAGGGCCCCAGGGATTGCTGTGATCAAGTTGCGGACAAAAATGACCACTCGTTGGAAGACAGGAGAGGAGTGTTTAGTTACAAAAGCAGTCAACAATTCAGGTGTATCTATATTCAGACAGCAAATAAAAGTTGTTCAACTTGGTTGCTAATGGGACCCACTCTACTGAGGCTTTATGTAGAACTCATAGAGGAAGCTGGCTTCGAGGAATGAACTACCCTGTGCTTTTCTTAGGACTAAAATCTCAGGAAGCTGGTGATGAATGAAAACCTTAGTCCCACTGGCACTGCACGAGGGGCCAGGAGAGCAGCAGCATCATAAGCCACAGGGTGGGGCAGCCAAGGCAGGGGCATTCTGAGCTGTTGGGGAGGGGTGGCAGGCAGGGTGGGGCACTGTGAGGTGTCGGGGAGGGCATTGTGAAGTGTGGGGTGGGGCATTGTGTGCCACATGCCTGGGCTCCCACCTGGGGCCAGTGGGCTTCAGTCTGTAGGTGACTACAGAAGGAGGAGGAGCTCCGTCTGTTCTCTCTTCAGGCAGTTGTTGTGTCTCTCAGCGCTTGTTGGGTTCACAACCTATTAAATAAGCCGGCTGGTCTTCACCCTCCCAGACAAGTCAACTCAGGGGAGGCAGCAGGGTGCGGGCCTTGGCCCACAGCCCTAGCCGGGGCCGGGGCCGGGGCCGGGACCAGGGCTGGTGCCCGGGGCCGCACTGTGAGGTGGGCAGGCGAGGAGCGGGAAGACCATCTCTGCAAGTGCAGCATAGCCTCGGCCTAGGACAGCGGGAGTGCGTGGCCAAAGCTGTGAGCAGAGGCACAGGTGGTGGCAGGCAGTAGAGGCGCCCCATGGGGAACATACTGACCTGTCGTGTGCACCCTAGCGTCAGCCTCGAGTTTGACCCAGCAGCAGGGGTCGGTGTGTCCCTCTGAATCTGAGATCTATGAGGCAGTAGCTGAGGACAGGATGGCAGGAGCGCCCATGGCTGCTGCTGTACAGCCTGCTGAGGTGACTGTTGAAGTTGGTGAGGACCTCCACATGCACCAGGTTCGTGACCGGGAGATGCCTGAAGGTAAGGAGGTGATAGGTGCCATCTACCCTCGGTTTGCCTCTGGCTGCTGCTGTCCCCAAGGTTCCCTTTGAGGCATCCTACACTTCGAGCTCCTTTCTGCTTGTAGCCAGCTTTCCCGGGGGCTGGCCAGGAACAAAAGCTGGCTCTGCCTTGAATTCCCACCCCTTAGTCTTTCCCCACCGAGTCCAGTCAGTTTCTTTTCACCTCCCCTCCCAATCGCCCAGTTCTTGCTCTCTCATCTCATTCTCCCAGGCTGGCATGGGACCATTTATTTATGGCTCTTGTCGAATAAGCAGCAGTTGAATAAATGAGTTGATAAATTTTTATAAATGATTACGTCCTTTTTCTTTTCTCCCTCTATACATATAGCTTTGGAGTTTAACCTTTCTGCCAATCCAGAGGCAAGCACAATATTCCAGAGGAACTCTCAAACAGATGGTGAGACAACAGTGTCTGTAGCTCTGTTTATTATCCTGTGGGACTTTGTTTAGGCTTCTTTGAGCTATTCTCTTCCTTTTCTCAATAAAAACTCAAATATCCCAACTTTTCAGTACCCATCTTAATTTTTCTTTGAACCTATCCAGATGGTACCTAAGTGAAGGAACCAGGTAAGTGCCTAATTGTTTCCTTTGTTAAAGTAGCCAAATCTCAGGACAGTTCCTATTCAAATATTTGGGGATTTCTTATTTAAAATCAGAATGGAGGTTGCCACGGGAGAGGCTATATGGTATTCTTAATGGGCTGCTTTAAGTCACCTTGATAGAAGCTGCTTAGTTTCTTCTAACTGTAATTTGAACACAGAAGGAAAGAGAAAAAAGGAGAGTGCTTAAAATAATTGTGAAAGGTATAAAATGTCACAGCCAGGGCTGCAGAAAAATGGTTGTGTGTGTGTGTTTGGGGTTTCTCAAAGGAGTTTACCTATGAGGCTCTGATTACTTTAAAATTCTTACTTTAACAGAAAATGTGTCTCCAGATTTATTCTGGTGACTTAACAGACTTTATTTACCTCCTTGTTCTAAAAGAGAGGTGGGGATTGGTTCACGGTCAAAACTTTCAAAAGACATGAAACGTCAATGTAGACTTTTAATGTGTAATATAAAGATTGCAGGTTAAAATGTCAGACCTTCCCTGTAAGAGTGTTTGTTGCCGTGGCTCCCCCTTTGTCCCTTCCCCTCCTGACAATAGCATCTTGTTCAAAGATAAGAAAGTTACAGTTTTGGCTGGGCTTGGTGGCTCACGCCTGTAATCCCAGCACTTTGGGAGGCTGTGGCAGGCGGATCACCTGAGGTCAGGAGTCGAGACCAGCCTGGCCAACATGGTGAAACGCTGTCTCTACTAAAAAAGAAAATACAAAAATTAGCTGGGCGTAGTGGCGCATGACTGTAGTTCCAGCTACTCACAAGGCTGAGGCGGGAGAATTGCTTGGACCTGGGAGGTGGAGGTTGCAGTGAGCAGAGATCACGCCAATGCACTCCAGGCTGGGTGACAGAGCGAGACTCCGTCTCACAAAAAAAAAAAGGAAAGAGTTGGAGTTTTTTAGTCTCTACACTGTTGGCAGAGGCAGGGGATGGGAGCCGGTAGAAAACAGAAAACAATTAGTTGGTTTGCCTCTAAAATTTTGCAAAGAGATGAATCTAAGTAAAAGTAATTCTGGGTAATAATATGGTTCTTGAATAAAAACTGAAATTTTCAAAATAGAAAACATTGCATCATAAACATATTAAATCCAGTTGGCTTATTGGTTTCATTTAAATGCCAGAGATTTCATTACTGTAGAGGAAATGTCTTATAGCTCTTCTATTTAAACTTTGGTTGGGCTCTTAATTTTTAAAGAGGTAGGATAATTAAGACTCATTATGAGTGTGACTTTGTAACTTGGAAGTACTATCTTCACATTTCAAGATATTTAAGGATTGCTTTAGAATAAACAAATGCATTATGTGAATTAATTGATTGTACCTTTATACACAAAGCATGTAAGTACTTGTATAAACTTATACTCTGCTTGGTGAAGTTCGGAAAGCCTGATGGATGTTACACACCAGTTAGTAGATGGGTAGTGTTGGATGAGAGCCCAAAAATGGCTCTTTATTGTCATTCTTTAGGATTACAACACAGTTTATGTATGTCTCACTTGGCCCTTTCCAATACAAATAAGGCCTGTGTATGTTCTCCCTATGTATTGCTAATGAAGAAATGAAAACTTAGAGATATCACATGACTATGGAAGACAGCTACTCAAGAGAACTAAGGTTCTGTGTCCTCAGAATGAAATGGAAGTGACAGATATGATGAATTTACTTTTTAAAAATTTTAAAAACTCTAGAATACATCTTATATTTTGCCTATAAAATAGACTGTCTTTTAAAACTTACTGCCATCTTGATTTATTTTATGCAAAGTTGATTTTACACAACTCAAAGCCAAAATTTACCTCTTTTTTTTTTTTTTTTTTTTTTTTTTTAAATAAAGGAGGGTGTCATTGTGTTACTCATGCTGGCCTCAACTTCCTGACCTGGGTTCAAGTGATTTTCCCATCTCAGCCTCCTGAGTAGCTGGGACTACAAGCATGTGCCATCTTGCCTGGCTCTATCTTATGTCTATACATTCATTTCAATGGATAAGAATCAAAGTAGAGATAGTGAAATAGCCTAAATGCAGCAGCCGAATAAACGAGTTGATAAATTTTTATCAATGATTGCATCTCTTTTTCTTTTCTTCCTCTATGCATATAGCTTTGGAGTTTAACCCTTCTGCCAATCCAGAGGCAAGCACAATATTCCAGAGGAACTCTCAAACAGATGGTGAGACAACATTGTTTTTTCCGCCAAGAGAAAGAATAAAAGCTCTTGTTTGATCAGGTTATAGAAAGTATTTAGAAAAACTCATATTGGTTTAAATTTTTCACCTTTTCACATGTTCACTTGTCTTATTTTAATATGTGATATACTTTCCTTTAGTTGTTATGATGTTAGTGAAAACGTGTAACCTTTTTGTTTATACATTTTGCCATCTTTTTATCAACACAATTAATTTGTCATGTGTTGGAGGAGTCATGGATTTCTCTTTATAATTCTTGGATTTATCTTTATTTATAATTAATGGATTTATCTTTATTTATAATCCCTTTTCCCTTGCTCCAAAAAGTACACTTTAAAGATGAATGATAGAACTTAGGCTTCAGCTTGGTTTTCATTTAAACAAATTAAAAAACATAGTTGTTTATCATCAGGGATTGAATCTGTGATTTGGGCCTCCTCTTACACAGTCCTCTGACCACATTCATTTACCACATCCAAGTTCATGCTACTCAAAAGTTTTAGGTTATTAACTTTTTCATTTGATGTCATGTAAATTTAAACATGCCCTACTCCTGCTTATTTCCCTAATGTTATGTTAAATCCTCATTTATTTGCCAACAAGCCATACACAGCCAAGTTTTCCAGTTGACTTAAACAGCAAGAATACAAGTGAGGGTTCTATAATAGTGTGCGAAGTAATGCAGCACAGTAAAACACGGGAGTTTGTAACCTTTGTTTTTATAGTTTGAGTAGACTTTGCCCATCTTGAGTCAGTTATTTCTGGTTAGAATTTGTCTTCATTTTTTACATTACTATAAAGAGATACCTAAGGCTGGGTAATTTATAACAAAAAAGAGGTTTAATTGGCTCAAAGATTTTCAGGCTGTACAAACATGGCTTTAACATCTGCTTCTGGTGAGGGCCTCAGCAAACTTACAATCATGATAAAAGGCAAAGGGGAAGCAGGTGGTTCCACACGGTGAAAGAGAGAGGGGAAGGGGGAAGGTACCACACTCTTTTTTTTTTTTTTTTTGAAATGGAGTCTCACTCTGTTGCCCAGGCTGGAGTGCAATGGCACGATCTTGGCTCACTACAACCTCCATCTCCCAGGTTCAAGCAATTCTCCTGCCTCAGCCTCCCGAGTAGTTGGGACTATAGGTGGGCACCATAACACCTGGCTAATTTCTGTATTTTTGGTAGAGACAGGGTTTCACCATGTTAGCCAGGCTGGTCTGAAACTCCTGACCTCAAGTGATCTACCCGCTTCAGCCTCCCAAAGTGCTGGGATTACAGGCTTCAGCCACCGCACCTGGCCAGTACCACAGTCTTTTAAATTACCATAATGAGAATTTGCTTATTACCATGGGGATGGGACCAAGCCATTCATAAGGAATCCACTGCCATTACCCAAACGCCTCCCACTAGGCCCTGTCTCCAACATTAAGGGTCACATGTTAACATGAGACTTGGAGGGGCAACATATCCAAAACATATCAGAATTGTATTTCCCAGTTCCTTCCAGAGCCATGGGCTTCTCACACCTAGAGAGCATGGAAGCAGTAAAAGAAAAGCTATTCCATGTCCCTCACTCTTCGGTGGTAGGAACTTTTGCCTACAAGGCCCTTCCAGCATCAAAGGCAGAGGCAGTGTAGGAAACAAAGCATGGCCCAAGTCCCTCTTGGGGCTTTTATTATTCTGGCCTCTTTTTAGAGGAAAAAAAATGATTTTTTGAGCTGCAGACACCATGTCCAATTAGGTTTGTATACTCATTTTAACATCAAAATTTAGGCCAGGCTCTGTGGCTTACACCTGTAATCCCAGCTCTTTGGGAGGCTGAGGTGGGTGGATCACGAGGTTAGGAGATCAAGACCATCCTGGCTAACACAGTGTAACTCTGTCTCTACTAAAAATACAAAAAAAAATTAGCTAGGCATGGTGGCACGTGCCTGTAGTCCCAGCTAGTCAGGAGGCTAAGGCTGAAGAATTGGTTGAACCTGGGAGGCAGAGGTTGCAGTGAGCTGAGATCCCACCACTGCACTCGAGCCTAGGTGACAGAGTGAGACTCCATCTCAAAAAAAAAAAAATTAAGATACGTTACTTTCCAGTTGTGTAAAGACCGTTTTTTAATTTTGATTTGTTTTTAGTGACATATTAGTAGATAACCACTAAGTGTGGTTCAAGATGCTTACAGGGATTCTGTTGCATCTAGAGATAGGTGTCTGGTCAGGACGTAGTTCTTAGAGCTGTTAGCTCTTAGAGTCTGATAATTAAAGTAAGCTATGTGTAAATGCAGAATGAGAGAATACTAATGGATCATGGCTCATATATGCAACAGTTAAACTTTTTATTAGCTAAATTTTTCATCTGGCCTAATTTTTTTACCCTTTTCTTTTGTACATGAGGATTCTTTCATTTGTATGTAATAGAAACAAAAAGTAAACTAAATGAAAAACTAAGTTTTTAGATTTGACTTATGAAATTAATCATGCCAGATAATTTAAATTATAAATTATTGAAAATTATTTTTTTAAATGGAATTTTGTCTCATTTTACATAGGAGTAATCAGTAAGATGTTAACAACTACTTTTATTTTATGGTATTTGTATCAGAAGTGACCAGTTTTTTTTTTTTTTTATTCTTAGTTGTAGAAATAAGAAGAAGCAACTGTACAAACCATGTAAGTAAACACTCAAATAGTTAAGAAATTGATAGTTTGACATAAAAGGATGTCTCTCTTGATTTCTTTAAATTACAATGTGGACCTGGTGGTGGTAGCATGGACCTCTTTTTGTGGATTTTCTAAATCTCTTCTATTTTCCTGAGTATTAAATTTATCCAGAAAAGTGTTTAGCTTAGCGTGTCCACCTTTTAAAGATTTCTGACATTTAAGTTAAATTTCAATAGTCTGGTTCAAAAGATCTGCCTTAAGGCTGGGCATGGTGGCTAACGTCTGTAATCACAGCACTTTAGGAGGCCAAGGCAGGCTGATCATCTGAGGTCAGGAGTTTGAGA
Organism: Homo sapiens; assembly: GCF_000001405.40. Taxonomy (NCBI): domain Eukaryota; kingdom Metazoa; phylum Chordata; class Mammalia; order Primates; family Hominidae; genus Homo; species Homo sapiens. The sequence goes on along the minus strand of NC_000010.11, from coordinate 48,025,561 downwards.
CAGCCCTGACCAACATGGTGAAATTCTGTATCTACTAAAAATACAAAAGTAGCCGGGCGTGCTGGTGCATGCCTGTAATCTCAGCTAGTCAGGAGGCTGAGGCAGAAGAATCACTTGAACCCAGGAGGCGGAGGTTGCAGTGAGCCAAGATCGTGCCATTGCACTCCAGCCTGGGCGACAGAGCGAAACTCTGTCTCAAAAAAAAAAAAAAAAAAAAAGTGCCTTAAATATTTAATCTTATTTTTAATGAAAGAACAAAAATAGAATAGTTAAGTTAATTGCCAGCACTGTCTATTGACTTTCTATCACAGCGGGTAAAAGCGTATCTTCCTCGCTACACCATGATCTTATGTTTCTCCCTGTGTTTCTTCCAATTGTAGCACACTTTTTAATTAAATCAGTAATATTTACATGATTATGACTCTGCAAATATTATTCACTGCTAAGTCATATGGTGTTTTCACTGTGCCTCTGCATTCCATGTCCTTCATCCTGTCTCTGAAACAGTTCTGAAATCTGAGCACTTCTGCAATTCTCCTGGATCTTCTTTTTTCCTAGCCTATGTTAGTTTATCTATCCAAATATCATTAAGTAGCCTCTGGGTGCTCTGTTTGCTTTCACATCCATTATTTTTTAGCATGAAGCTAATTTTCTGACTATATTCATTTGCCTATTTTCTAACAGCTGTTTTTCCCCCAAGTATTGTAGCATTTATCACATGCCTTTCAAAGATATTTTCCATCTGCAAAAACACATCTGTTCCTTTTTATGTGTGTGTGGGGGGCAACTTTCTTTGGCCTTTTGTCATCCTAGTTCAATATAGCGTGGGTTTCCCTAGATATGCTCGATGTCTGCTTTTCTGGGCTAACTCCTTAAAGTCTTTTGGGATCTCACGTAACTGCTGTCTTGTGTGGGATCGCCTGAGTCCTAGATTCTGTGTTTCCTTCTGTCCTGTTATCGTCTCTAGTTGTACTTGAACACATTTTCCTGGGTGGAGATGTTAAAATCCCTCCTCTTTGATAGAGAGTACACCTCTAGGTTGAATCTAAATTGTATGGTTCTGAAGACATTTTGCAGTTGTGCTCTTATTACAGTGTTGTTCTTGAATCTATTGCCAGTGTGTGATATGTTATTTACAACCAGGTTTTAGTTATCTGCGGAAGCTTTTTAGAATCTCTCTCTCTAAGGTTCTGAAATTTTATAACAGCTTGTTGGGGATCTTTTCATTTTATTGAGGCTACTAAACCTGCAGACTATCTCTTCTTGAGAATTTTTTTTTTATTTTCTCTGTTACTTTTTTACTGATAGTCTTGTTCTTCAGATGCTAGGCTGCTTAGACCAGTACACCTGCATTGATTTTTAATTTTTCCCCTTCTATTTTTTTCAGTTTGTCTTTTTATTCTAGTTCTGGGATATTCTGTGACTTTATCCTCTACTATTTCTATTGAATTTTATATTTTTTGAGAGTGTTTTAAGATTTTTTTTTAAAGTTTTGCTCCTGATTTTGACTGGTCCTATCAATTCCTTTTTTCTATTGTTTTGATCTCTTTTCTTGGAGGCTTCCCTCCAATGTGTGGTGGTCCCTGGCCTGCTTTATTTGGAAGCAGGATTTCTGTTAACTGATAGCACTCAGTGTGAGGCCTTAGAAGCCTGACTAGCTTTTCATTTGGGAGACCTCAGTGTATTATCTGGGGATCTTTACTGAAGACATTTCAGTTTCTTCTGAGAAGGATCTCCCAATTTTCTGCCTGGAAAGGAAAAGCAGAGTTAGCAAAGAAAGTTGGAGTTCCATTTTTGGTGTACAGTTTTCTTTATATCTCAGGTTTAAGCCATAGTATCTCTGAGCCAGAAATTCTCAGGTTTGATATATCCAGAGAACACACATCTAAGTTTCTTGTCAGATGGAAGGACAGGTAGACTTTGGGCTCTAGTTAGAGATTTGCAACTGACCTTGCTGGCTTTTTTTTTTTACATTTTACCCTACTTTCCAAAGTGCCATTTGCCTGTAAGTTCACAACCTGCCTTTAGTTCTGCAAGACAAACTGGCTCGCTTCTGTTCCAGTCACTTTCTGTAGTCAGCAAAGTTGTGTTTCTGTGTTATTTACCACTCCTTTGTCTACTTTTTATGTCTCAGCATTTACTAAAAATTATCTCTGTCAACCTTCTGTGCTGGTCATGGGTGTAACCTTTATTTTATGACTAATGAGGCTTCCAGAGGGAGACGAAATAAATTTGTGGTCAATCTATTATATTTAATCCAAATTTAGGACCTATGTTTAAATCAAAGTCTAATTTGAGTATAATGATATTAAGCCAGAGAATTTTTTAAATTAATGTATCTATAATAAGCATATTACACTTTTCTCCTAAGGCCTTGTTTAATATTTTCATTCAAAGTTTATCCACTGCCATATGCTTCCCATTACTTCACAACATAAATGGAGCTGTTTTCCTGAATGCCCAAGGTGTTAGAAATATTTAAGTTAATTAAGATTTGTTCATTTTTAGCCTGGTCAACATAGCAAGACCTCATGTCTACAAAAAGGTTAAATAACAAATTAGCCAGGCCTCGTGGCATGCGCCTTTCATATTACCTACTCAGGAGGCTGAGGCAGAGGATCACCTGAGCTCAGGAGTTTGAGGCTGCAGTTAACTATAATTGCACCACTGCACTCCAGCCTGGGCAACAAAGGGAGACCCTGTCTCGGAAAAAGGAAAAAAGTTACTAATTCTTTAAAAACCTATCTAAAATTTGTCCTGCCCAAAAGGAGAGTGAAAAATATGAACTTTAGTCTTTGTTTTATTTTATGTTTGCTGAGAAAAATGCTGTACTTTATTTATTTATTTATTATTTCCATAGGTTTCTGGGGGAACAGGTGGCATTTGGTGACATGACTAAGTTCTTTAGTGATGATTTGTGAGATTTAGGTGCACCCATCACCTGAGCAGTATCCGCTGAACCCAATTTGTAGTCTTTTATCCCTCACCCTCCTCCCAGCCTTTCCCCCAAGTCCCCAAAGTCCATTGTATCATTCTTATGGCTTTGCATCCTCATAGCTTAGCTCCCACGTAGGAAAGAGAACATGATATTTGGTTTTCCATGCTGAGTTATTTCACTTAGAATAATAGTCTTGCTTCCATCCAGGTTGCTGGGAATGCCATGAATTTATTCCTTATTATGGCTGAGGTGGTATTCCTCATATATATATATATATAATATGTATGTATATCACAGTTTCTTTATCCGCTCATTGACTGATGGGCATTTGGGCTGGTTCCATATTTTTGTAATTGTAATTTGTTTGAGTTCCTCATAGATTCTGGATAATAGCCCTTTGTCAGATGTATAGACTGCGAAGATTTCCTCCCACTCTGTGGTTGTCTGTATACTCTGCTGATTGTTCCTTTTCCTGTGCAGAAGCTCTTTAGTTAAGTCTCACCTATTTGTTTCTGTTGCATTTGCTTTTGTGTTCTTGGTCATGAAGTCTTTGCCCAAGCCAGTGTCTAGACGGGTTTTTCCAATGTTATCTTCTAGAACTTTTATGGTTTCAGGTCATAGATTTATGTCCTTGATCCATCTTGAGTTGATTTTTGTGTAAGGTGAGAGTTGAGGATCCAGTTTCATTCTCCCGCATGTGGCTTGCCAATTATCCCAGCACCATTTGTTGAATAGGGTTT